>NC_000005.10:176513552-176663997 GCF_000001405.40 Homo sapiens
CATGCCATCTGCTTGGACTACTTTGTCCTGTTCTGCTTGCTACTAGCCATTCTCTAGAAGTTGGCAACTGATTTTTTTTCCTTTTTTATTTTTATGTTTATTGAAAGTCTTACTCAAAACAACAGGTATTTTTACCTCCACTGGCAACCTAGATGACTCCCACATCTGCATACATGGATTCCCTGAAATTCCGGCTCTACTGTTTCTGATTTAAGTTGTGTTAAAGTGTGGTGCAGACTTCAGAGTCAAATCTAGATTTGAAATTGTTCCGCTGCTTGCTGACAATGATATTTGTTGACCTCGGAACCTGTTTGCTCACCCATAAATATTACAGTAGCACATCCTTGTAAAGTTGGGATGCTGTTTAAGTGAGCTGATGACTGGAGTGCCTGGCATCGGGCACTGGGCTGCTTAGTCAGTGTTAGCTTGCTTTCCTCGCAGCCCTCTCCCAGCGGGGCCATGCCTCACTTGGAACTGCTTCGCCCTCGAGACCTCAGCACCAATCCCTCCGAACACAGCCTTTCTTTCTCTCTCCAGCCCCCACTGTCCCTGCTCCGTCCGCACAGCCATTCTGTCCCTCTGCAGTTGCCTCAGTTCTTCCGACTAGAAACTCCTTGCCTTCCTTCCCGTCTCCCTCATGAGCCAGTACTGACTGCCACAATTCCTCAAGTAAACTCAACTGTTTGATTTCTCTCCCCCTACTCCTCAGGCTGGAGAACCCCAGCATACATCACAGCAAACTTGGGAGCCCTGAATGTGGGTGGCCATTCCTTGAATCCAGCTCTAGGACACTTCCTGTACCGCTGCCGCATAGGAACGGCTCCGGCATGTCCGCCTTTCTCAAATCCAAGCCCGCCTGCATCCTCACTCTAAGCTCATTACTGTGAGAGCCCGCCTCCTGAGAAAAATTGACGTCACAGAACTTTATCTTCCTTTTTCACCTCAAAATTGTTTTGTGGGCTGTGTGCGGTGGCTCACGTCTGTAATCCCAGCACTTTGGGAAGCCAAGGTGGGAAGACTGCTTGAGCTCAGGAGTTTGACCAGCCTGGCCAACATGGCAAAACCCTGTCTCCATAAAAAATGGAAAAATTAGCTGACCATGGTGGCGTGTGCCTGTGGTACCAGCTACTCAGGAGGCTGAGGTGGGAGGATGGCTTGAGCCTGGGAGGTGGAGGTTGCAATGGGTCATGACTGCACCATTGCACTCCAGCCTGGGCAACAGAGCAAGACCTTGTCTCAAAAGAAAAAAAAAATTGTTTAGTGATGTTAGTTACTTCCTCTTTCCCTTTTGTCTTGTGGATATATCTTTTTAATGAAACATACTTTACAAACAGTAAAATGCCCAAATTTTAAATCCACAGTTTGATAATTTTTTAACTATGTATACACCAAAATCAAGATGCAGAATACCTCCATCGCCCCAGGCAAGTTCCTTTGGGAGCCTGCTCAGTCAATAGTGCCTTCAGAGATCATTCTTCTAACTTCTGTTCACCATAGTTTTGCCTGTTCCTCCTTTTTATTTTTATTTTATTTATTTTATTTTTTTTTGAGACAGAGTCTTGCTCTGTCACCCAGGCTGGAGTGCAGTGGCGTGATCTAGGCTCACTGCAAGCTGCGCCTCCCGGGTTCACGCCATTCTCCTGCCTCAGCCCCCCAAGTAGCTGGGACTACAGGCGCCTGCCACCACGCCTGGCTAATTTTTTGTATTTTTAGTAGAGACGGGGTTTCACCATGTTAGCCAGGATGGTCTTGATCTCCTGACCTCGTGATCCACCCACCTTAGCCTCCCAAAGTGCTGGGATTACAGTTGTGAGCCACCGTGCCCGGCCTGCTTTTTCTTTTTTTTTTGAGACAGGGTCTCACTCTTTCACCCAGGCTGGAGTGCAGTGGCATTATCGTGGCTCACTGCAGCCTCGAACTCCCAGGCTCAAGTCATGCTCCTGCCTCAGCCTCCTACGTAGCTAGGCACCACCATGCCCAGCTAATTTTTAAAATTGTAGAGATAGGATCTCACTGTTGCCCAGGTTACCTGTTCTTACTAAAGTGTGTGTGTGTGTGTGTGTGTGTGTGTGTGTATGTGTGTGTGTGTGTGTATGTGTGTTGCAGGGGTTGGGGTTGTGGTTTATCAATTGTTTTCCTGGTTGAGTTTAATTCCTTTTCATGTAGGAAAACTTAGAAAATGCAAAGAAACGAAAAAGACAAGGAAAAATTCATAATGCCACACTGGCCAGGAATGTCCATTGTTAAAATGCTTTTTTTTTTTTTTTTAAGACAAAGCCTCACTCTGTTACCCAGGCTGGAGTGTAGTGGCGCGACCTTGGCTCACTGTGACCTCTGCCTCCTGGGTTCAAGTGATTCTCCTGCCTCAGCCTCCCGAGTAGCTGGGATTACAGGCGCCCACCACCACACCTAACTAATTTTTTTGTATTTTTAGTAGAGACAGGGTTTCACTATGTTGGTCAGGCTGGTCTTGAACTCCTGATCTCAAGTGATCCACCGGCCTCGGCCTCCCAAAGCGCTGGGATTACAGGCGTGAGCCACCGTGCCCGGTCTCCACTGTTAATATTCTGATGTTTATGTTCCTAGACTTTTCATTGCATATAAAAACTTTTCAAGCAGGACACACTGGCTCATGCCTGTAATCCCAATACTTTGGGAGGCTAAGGTGGGTGGATCACTTGAGGCCAGGAGTTTGAGACCAGTGTGGCCAACATGGCAAAACCCAGTCTCTACTAAAAAATACAAAAATTAGTGGGGCATGGTAGCACAGGCCTGTGATCCCAGCTACTCAAGAGGGTGAGGTGGGAGGATCACTTTAGCCCAGCAGCCAGAGGTTGCAATGAGCCAAGATTACACTCTAGCCTGGGCGACAGAATGAGACAGAAATGGGATATAATATAAATACTGCATTATTTCAAGTTCACACATTCTTCTGTATCTTATTTATTTATTTATTTATTTATTTATTTATTTCGAGTCTCGCTCTGTCGCCCAGGCTGGAGTGCAGTGGCGCGATCTTGGCTCACTGCAACCTCCGCCTCCCGGGTTCAAGCGATTCTCCTGCCTCAGCCTCCCAAGTAGCTGAGATTACAGGCGCCCGCCACCACGCCCAGCTAATTTTTGTATTTTTAGTAGAGACGGGGTTTCACCATGTTGGTCAGGCTGGTTTCAAACTCCTGACCTCAGGTGATCCGTCCGCCTTGGCCTCCCAAAGTGCTGGGATTACAGGCGTGAGCCACCATGCCTGGCCTCTTCTGTATCTTTTTAAATGGCTGTACAGCATTTCACTAAATGGATGTACCATATATTGATGAAAATTATCTTGTGACATGCTAAACTTTTTTTCTCTTTTCTAAAATAGCAAATTGATAAACATCCCCACACCTGAATGTGAACATCCATGCTAGTTTCCTCAGGAGAAAAAAATAACAATCCTAGAATTGCTTAGTCAAAAAGGGATACAATTTTTTCTTCTTTTTAATGTTTGTGTTATCTCCAAATTGTAGTCCAGAAAAGTCATTTCTCTTCCTGCCAGCGGTGTACGAGTGTGTGCTCAGCCTCCCACCTGTCACCATGTTCAGAACCTTCACCAGCAATCATCCCCTTCTAAACCACTTGGATCTCTTTATCTTCTCTCTCAAACTGTTTGGAGTCCCCTCCCTTACAAAACCTCAATCCCAGTTTACCCACAAGTTGCTGCCAGGATCGTTTACACAACCAGCCTCCACTTCCTCCTTAGCCTCCTGTAATTGAACTTTCACCTTCACTGACCATCTCTTATGGTCACCTGTGACCTCCTAATTACCATCTTCATTGGCTTCTTACGAAACTTTCTTGAATGTAAAAGTTCCCCAGCTGGTACCTGACACAGAGTAAGTCCCCTTGTCTCTGTTCCCACAAGTTTGAGGTCAGATTGTGTGAACTAGGTTAAGGAAATCACACTTTGCCCCAAGGGCCATTGAAGGGCTTTATCAGACATGGGTTATAGGTAATTCTGTCACCATGGGGATTAGAAGGGAGCTGTGTAAGTCTGTTTTCATTCCTATAAAGAAATAACTGGCCGGGCGCAGTGGCTTATGCCTGTAATCCCAGCACTTTGGGAGGCCGAGGTGAGTGGATCACGAGGTCAAGAGTTCAAGACCAGCCTGGCCAAGATGGTGAAACCCAGTCTCTACTAAAAATACAAAAATTAGCCAGGTATGGTGGTGGGCGCCTGTAATCCCAGCTATTCGGGAGGCTGAGGCAGAGAATCGCTTGAACCTGGGAGGCGGAGGTTGCAGTGAGCCAAGATTGTGCCACTGCACTCCAGCCTGGGCGACAGAGTGACACTCCATCTCAAAAAAAAAAAGACAAGGGCAGAGCTTTATTAAAAAGTTGTAGACAAGCCAGATGTGGTGGCTCACACCTGTAATCCTAGTGCTTTGGTAGGCTGAGGTGGGAGGATCACTTGAGCCCAGGCGTTCGAGACAAGCCTGGGCAACGTGGTGATACCCCATCTCTACAGATTTTTTTTTTTTTTAATTAGCCAAGTAAGGCCAGGCATGGTGGCTCATGCCTGTAATCCCAGCACTTTGGGAGGCTGAGGCAGGCAGATCACCTGAGGTCGGGAGATCGAGACCAGCCTGATCAACATAGAGAAACCCCATCTCTACTAAAAATACAAAGTTAGCCTGGCGTGGTGGTGCATGCCTGTAATTCCAGCTACTCGGGAGGCTGAGTCAGGAAGTAGAATCGCTTGAACCCAGGAGGCGGAGGTTGCGGTGAGTCAAGATCACGCCATTGCACTCCAGCCTGGGCAACAAGAGTGTAACTCCACCTCAAAAATAATAATAATAATAATAAAAAAATCAGCCAGGTATGGTGGCTTGTTCCTATACTACCAGCTACTTGGAGGGCTGAAGAGGAGAACTGATTTTTTTTTTCTTTTTTCTGAGATGGAGTCTCACTCTGTCACCCAGGCTGGAGTGTAGTGGTGTGATCTCCACTCACTGCAACCTCTGCCTCCCAGGTTCAAGTCATTCTCCTGCCTCAGCCTCCCGAGTAGCTGGGACTACAGGCGCCTGCCACCATACCCAGCTAATTTTTGTATTTTTAGTAGAGACAGAGTTTCACCATGTTGGCCAGGCTGGTCTTGAACTCCTGACCTCAAGTAATCCGCCTGCTTTGGCCTCCCAAAGTGCTGAGATTACAGGCATGAGCCACCGCACCTGGCCAGGAGGATTGCCTGAGCTTGAGAGTTTGAAGCTGCAGTGAGCACCACTGCACTCCAGCCTGGTCAACAGAGCAAGACCCTGTCTCTGAAAAGAAAAAAGAGGGCTAGGCGCGGTGGTACACACCTGTAATCTCAGCATTTTCGAAGGCTGAGGCAGGTGGATCACTTGAGCTCAGAAGTTTGAGACCAGCCTGACCAACATGATGAAACGCTGTCACTACTAAAAATACAAAAAATTAGATGGGTGTGGTGGCACATGCCTGTAATCCTAGCTACTCAGGAGGCTGAGGCAGGAGAATCGCTTGAACCAGAAGGCGGAGGTTGCAGTGTGCCGAGATTGTGCCACTGCACTCCAGCTTGGGTGACAGAGTGAGACTCTGTCTCAAAAAAAAAAAAAAAGAGAAAAGAAAGAGAATTGCAGAAAAGTATAAAGAAAAAATAGCCATTATTCCCACCATCCAAAATGATTAACATTAATATTTTGGCATATTTGCATCCAGCTTTTTTTTATTTTTTTATTTTTTGAGACAGAGTCTCACTCTGTCACCCAGGCTGGAGTGCAGCGGTGCTATCTCGGCTCACCTGCAACCTCTGCCTCCCGAGTTCAAGCGATTCTCCTGCCTCAGCCTCCCGAGTAGCTAGGATTACAGGTGCCCGCACCACGCCTGGCTAATTTTTGTATTTTTAGTAGAGATGAGGTTTCACCATGTTGGCCAGGCTCGCCTTGAACTTCTGACATCAGGTGATTCACCTGCCTCGGCCTCCCAAAGTGCTGGGATCACAGGAGTGAGCCACCGTGCCCAGCCAGCTTCCAGCTTTTTTCATGGATATACTTTGGTTAAAATAACAGAAAATGTGGGCTGGACTCGGTTGCTCATGCCTGTAATCCCAGCACTTTGGGAGGCCGAGGCAGGTGGATCACGTGAGGTCAGAAGTGCAAGACTAGCCTGGCCAACATGGTGAAACTCCGTCTCTACTAAAAATATAAAAATTAGCAGGCTGTGGTGCAGGCGCCTGTAATCCTAGGTACTCGGGAGGCTGAGGCAGGAGAATTGTTTGAACCCAGGAGGTGGAGGTTGCAGTGAGCCAAGATTGCGCCACTGCACTCGAGCCTGGGTGACAGAGTGATACTGTGTCTCAAAAAAAAAAAAAAAAATCACAGAAAATGTTTATAGATATGCTAAAATAAATCCATGCTCAGCAGATGTGGCTAACATCTAGCCAAGCTGGACTTTGGCACTTGCCCCTGGGCAGGCCTGCCAGCATGCTGGGCACTGATCAGCCACGAGTCTTCAATATGAGGGTCTCTCCAGGGTGCCCTCTCTCCAGAGCCTTCATCTCAGGTAGAAACAGCAGCAGAGGCCCATGGATGTGAATCAGCTTGTCTGATCTGCAGTGAGGAGGGGTGTAAGGAGTCATCATTATGCAAAAAAGAATAATCGGAAACGGGAAAGGTAACAGGTCATTTCACTATGCTGGGGCACTGGAAAGAGAGGGCAGGGCCTGTATAAGGGCACCTGGGCCCAGGGGTGGAGTCAGCTCCACACAGACTTTCTCTCCCAGCGGGGCACTCACTTGCTCGCTTACTCAGTCACCTATTCAGGAGATACTCTCTGATGCCCGTCGTGTCCATTCCCTCTTGCTAGGTCTGGGAACATGGCAAACATGATGGCCTTTGGTCTAGTGAGTGCAGGCAGTCAGCGGGATCCATCCTGACAGGTGAGATGCACAGGGAAGAGCCACCTGCAGGTGTGCACTGGAGCCCAGGGTGGAAGCACGGCTGCTCGGGATTGAGGGAGGGGTCAGGGCAATTCGCTTGAGGAGAGGACATTTGCGCTGGGCTCTGGGAAAGGAGCATGCTTGCCAGGAGGACGAGACACGTTAAGGCATTTGAGGCAAAGCAGGTGATAAAAGGGCAAAAGGGTGCAGGGGCAGATGACCTGGGTCTCAATCCCAGCTCTGCTGTTTGTTGGTTCTGTGACCTTGGGGAAGTCATCTTCCTTCTCTGAGCCTCTGTTTCTTCAATGGGAACTAGAAGGAAGGTAATAACAGTTTTACTGTCAAGAAAACAGAAGAGCCCAGGCACGGTGGCGCACACCTGTAAGCCCAGCACTTTGGGAGACTGAGGCGGGAGGATGGCTTGAGCCTGGGAGGTCAAGGCTGCAGTGAGCTATGATTGCGCCACTGCACGCCAGCCTGGGTGACAGAGCGAGACCCTGCCTCTAAAAAGGAAAGAAGGAAAAAGAAAGAGAAAGAAAGCAGAAGGGTCCCGCAGGGGTGAGGTGGCAGCATGGCAGGACAAAGAGTGTGAGTGGCCCTGGGCAGAGGGAGCACACGCCCTGCATGCTGGAACGGGCACTGGGGCACCACAAGGGTTGGAGCATGGCTGGAAGGGAGGAGAGAGGTGGGAACTGACAAAGTGTGACTAGATTAGGATACTGCTTCTTCCATCACCTCCATCCCTCCCGCGGGGAGGCTGGAGAAGACGGGAGAGGAGGGAGAGCCCAGCTTGCAAACTCACCGCTTTGAGAGCCTGCACCTTCCTCTGAAGTGGCAAAGGAGATTTAAATTCAGGGCTGGATTCAGTCTGACTTCAGTCTCCTCATTCAATAAAGGAAAAACGTATTCTGTTGCTGACGGCCCCCCAAAGATACCTCCTGGGCCAGAGGCCTTCGGCTTCCTATTGAGGCAGGGCAGTGGCAGTGACGATGGTGGTGGCGGGAAGGGAGGGCACACCTGGAGCTTGCAGGAGGCAGGAGGGATAGGCTGAAGAGGGGGCCTCCGAGGTGCAGAGGCCAACCAAGCCAGGGGACCTCCAAGCAGGCTTTCCAAAAGTGGGTTCTCTGACTTGGGGAATGCAGGAATGGGGACTACAGAACTACCTGATACTCCCATTTTCTAGCTGGGCCTAGACCCAGGCTGTTCTAAGCCTCGTTTTCTCCAAATAGAAACAGAATATAATAAACACCTCAACTCTGGATGCCGAGATGCAAATGAAATGCTAGGGTTTGTGAGGCCCTGGGACCTGGCCCCTCTGCCACCTCACCGGCTCCCAGCTCCCGCTCAAGCACCGCCCTTCCTCTGCCTTGCTCATTCTGTGTCCTGTGTGGAATGCTCGTCTCCTGACTGGCTCCTTCCCACCACTCAGGCCTCACTCATCTCAAGGTTGCTTCCTCTGAAAGGCCACTCCTGTGTCAGGGTCCACAGACCCTCTGTGGCTTGTTACTTTTCCTTCACGGCCCTTGTTATGCTCTGAAATAATTGCTGACTTCCATATTGTCCCGCCGTCCTTTGGGAGGGCCAGTTTCCTGGAGACAGCAGCTCCATCTTGTCCACTGGGGTAGTCCTGATACCCAGGACAGTGCCCGGCTTGGGCAGAAGCACTTGGCCAGTTCTGCTGAATGAATGGTTTGGCACAAATGACCTTTTTAAAATTTTGAAATAATTTAAGATTCATAGGACATGGCGAAAACATTACAGAAGAGACCTGTGTGCCCTTAGTTTCCCTCAAATGGCAGCATCTTGTTTAAAACCAGAAAATTGGCATTGCTACAATTTACAGATTTTACTAGTTTTACATGCACCCATTTGTGTGTGTGTGTGTGGTGTGTGTGCATGTAGTTCTGTAAATTTCATCACGTGTGGATGTGTGTAGCCCACACTATGATCAAGATACAGATCTGTTCCATCAGTGCAAAGATCTTCCTCGTGCTGCCTCTTTAAAAGTCATGCCACCCTCTTCCCATCCCCTATTTTTTTTGAAACGGAGTCTTGCTCTGTACCCCAGGCTGGAGTGCAGTGGCGTAATCTTGGCTCACTGCAATCTCCATCTCCTGGGTACAAGTGATTCTCCTGCCTCAGCCTCCTGAGTAGCTGGGATTACAGGCATGTGCCACCACGCCCGGCCTTCATTTTTGTATTTTTAGTAGAGACAGGGTTTCATCATGTTGGCCAGGCTGGTCTTGGACCCCTGACTCAAATGATGCCCCTGCCTCGGCCTCCCGAAGTGCTGGGATTACAGGCGTGAGTCACCATGCCCGGCCAATAGTCACTATTTTTTATTTTAGTTCCTTTTAATAGGTGTGTAAAAAAATACCTCATTGTGGCTTAATTTACATTTCTCTAATGGCTAAAGGTGTGGAACATATTTTTGTGAGTACATGAAATATCTCTTTAGTAAAATGTATGTTGATCTTTTGGGTTTTTGAGAGTTTCTTTTTTCAGCTTTCTCAGGTTGAAATTGAGAGTTTTTTACATATCTGAGATGTGAGTTATTTGTCAGATATGTGGCTTGCAAATTAAAAGTTTTAATCTTGATAAAGTCCAGTTGTAGATTTTTCCTTGATGGATTGTTTTTGGTGTCATGTCTAAGACCTTTTCACCTAGTCCTAGATTTTCACCTGTTTTCTTCTGGAAGTCTTCTAGCTTTATGTTTTGCCTTTACATCTATGACCCATTTTAAGTTAATTTTTGTGTAAGTTGTGGGGTTCATTTGTTGAAAAGAATATCCTTCATTGAATGTTTAAAAATCAGTTGGCTATACTTGTGTGGGTGTATTCCTGGGTTCTTAATTCTGTTCCATTGATGTATTTCTCTATCCTCTGCAAATACCACATTGTCTTGACTAATACAGCGATGACAGTAAGTCTTAAAATCAGGTACAGTTGATCTTCCCACTTTTTTCTCCTCCTCCTCCTCCTTCTTCTTCCTCCTCCTCCCCCTCCTCCTCCTCCCCTCCCCCTCCCCCCTCCTCCCCTCCTCCTCTTCTTTTCTTCTTCTTCTTCTTCTTTTTTTTTTTTTTTTTTTGAGACAGGGTCTGCCTCTGTCACCAAGGCTGGAGTGCAGTGGCATGATCTTGGCTCACTGCAACCTCCACCACCTGGGCTCAAGTGATTCTCCTGCCTCAGCCTTCCAAGTAGCTGGGAGTACAGACATGTGCCACCACGCCCGGCTAATTTTTGTTTTGTTTGTAGAGATGGGATTTTGCCACATATGTTGCCCAGGCTGATCTCAAACTCCTGAGCTCAAGCAATCGGTCTCCCTTGGCCTCCCAAAGATTACAGGCAAAAGCCACCATGCTCAGCCTATTCTTGTTTCTTTTTTTGAGACAGAGTTTTGCTTTTGTTGCCCAGGCTGGAGTGCAATGGCGCGATCTCGGCTCACTGCAACCTCCACCTCCTGGGTTCAAGCAATTCTCCAGCCTCAGCCTTCTGAGTAGCTGGGATTACAGGCATCCGCTACCATGCCTGGCTAATGTTTGTATTTTTAGTAGAGATGTGGTTTCACCATGTTGGCCAGGCTGGTCTGGAACTCCTGACCTCAGGTGATCTGCCTGCCTCGGCCTCCCAAAGTGCTGGGATTACAGGCGTGAGCCACCACGCCCAACCTATTCTTGTTTTTCAAAATTGTTTTAGCTACTCTCATTCCTTTGCCTTTTCATATACATTTTAGAATAAGCACAAGCATGTCTGTATCTTTTTTTTCTTGTAGAGACAGTGTCTTGTTTGAGACCAGCCAGGCTGGCCTTAAGTGATTCTCCCACCTCTGCCTCCCAAAGTGTTGGCGTTAGGCCAGGCGTGGTGGCTCACACCCATAATCCCAGCACTTTGGGAGGCCAAGGCGGGTGGATCACTTGAGGCCAGGAGTTCATGCCCAGCCTGGACAACATAGAGAAACCCTGTCTCTACTAAAAGTATAAAAAGCTGGGCGTAGTGGCCCACACTTGTAGTCCCAACCATTTGGGAGGCTGAGGCACGAGAATCTCTTGAACCCAGAAGGCAGAGGTTGCAGTGAGCCAAGATCGCCGCCACTGCACTCCAGCCTGGGTGACAGAGCGAGAATCTGTCTCAGGAAAAAAAAAAAAAAAAACCACAAAAACAGAGCCAGGCATGGTGGCTCACACCTGTAATCCCAGCACTTTGGGAGGCCGAGGCAGGTGGATCACTTGAGGTTAGGAGTTCGAGAGCAGCCTGACCAACATGGTGAAACCCTCTCTCTACTAAAAACACAAAAAATTGGCTGGGTGCGGTGGCTCACGCCTGTAATCCCAGCACTTTGGGAGGCCAAGGTGGGCGGATCACCTGAGGTCAGGAGATCAAGACCATCCTGGCCAACATGGTGAAAACCCGCCTCTACTAAAAATACAAAAATTAGCTGGGCGTGGTGGCGTGTGCCTGTAATCCCAGCTACTTGGGAGGCTGAGGCACAAGAATCACTTGAACCCAGGAGGCGGAGGTTGCAGTGAGCTGAGATCACGCCACTGCACTCCGGCCTGGTGACAGAGCCAGACTCCGTCTCAAAAAAAAAACAAAAAAACAACAAACAAACAAAAATTAGCTGGGCGTAGTGGTGCGTGCCTGTAGTCCCAGCTACTCGGGCTGAGGCAGGAGACTCACTTGAACCCGGGTGGCGGAGGTTGCAGTGAGCTGAGATCGCGCCATTGCCCTACAGCCTGGGCGACAGAGCGAGAGTCCATCTCAAACAAACAAACAAGAACAACAACAACAAACCAAAGTGTTGGCATTACAGGCTCGAGCCACGGTGCCCAGCCTAGGCATGTCTGCATCTTAAAAAACAAACAACCACCCTTGCTGAGATTTTGATAGAAATTGCATTAAACCTACAGATTGATCTGCGAAGAAATGCCACCTTTACTATGTTGAATATTCCAATCCAAGTACACGGTTTGTTTCCATTTATGTAGGTCTGATTTCTTTCATTACAGTTTTGTAGTTTTCAGCATGCAAGTCTTGCACGTTTTGTTAGATTTAGTCCTAAGTATTTCATTTTTCTTTGAGCCATTAGAAATGTTATCATTGTGTTTTAAGCTGGGCGCGGTGGCTCACGCAGGTAATCCCAGCACTTTGGAAGGCTGAGGCAGGCAGATCACTTAAGTTCAGGAGTTCAAGACTAGCCTGGGAAACAACATGAGACCCCGTCTCTACAAAAAAATACAAAAACTTAGCAGGCCATGGTGGCACACGCCTCAGGTGATGCTAAATTAGAGGAGACTGAGCAAGGGCTACCAAGCGCTGCCGCGCAGAGAAAAGCAAGGTTGCAGGCTGGACGCGGTGGCTCACACCTGCAATCCCAGCACTTTGGGAGGCCAAGGTGGGAGGACTGCTTGAGCCCAAGAGTTCGAGACCAGCCTGGGCAGCATAGTGAGACTTGTTCCTATTGGAAAAACAAAACAAGTTGTGAAATGAGGGAGACCTTATTTCCTCATGACAGGCCTGAGCCCCCTGATCCAGTCAGGACAGAAGAACCTACCTTGAGATTCATTTTTATTTTTTGAGACACAGTCCGCTGTCACCTAGGCTGGAGTGCAGTGGTGCAATCTTGGCTCACTGCAACCTCCACCTCCTGGATTCAAGCAATTCTCCTACCTCAGCCTCCCGAGTAGCTGGGACTACAGGCTTGTGCCACCATACCTGGCTAATTTTTTTTTTTTTAGACGGAGTCTTGCTCTGTCACCCAGGCTGGAGTGCAGCGGCACGATCTTGGCTCACTGCAAGCTCCGCCTCCCAGGTTCACGCCATTCTCCTGCCTCAACCTCCCGAGTAGCTGGGACTACAGGTGCCCGCCACCACGCCCGGCTAATTTTTTTTTGTATTTTTAGTAGAGACAAGGTTTCACCGTGTTAGCCAGAACGGTCTCAATCTCCTGACCTCATGATCCGCCCACCTCAGCCTCCCAAAGTGCTGGGATTACAGGCATGAGCCACCGGCTGGGATTACATGCATGAGCCACTACGCCCGGCCTAATTTTTCTGTGTTTTTAGTAGAGAAGGGGTTTCACCATGTTGGGCAGGCTGGTATCGAACACCTCACCTTAAGTGATCCACCAGCCTCGGCCTCCCAAAGTGCTGGGATTACAGGTGTTAAGCCTCATCCCCATCCCACCTCCCACCAAAAAGACACGGGCAGCCAAAGGCAGCGTGGGCGGTCGTTGGTATACATCATACATTTATTAGTGAATATCCCTCTGAAATCAGCAACAATATTAAAAAAAATAATGATTGCACTACTTGGTCAAGCAGAACTAGCAACTTTCATTTTAAAAAAAGTACAAATCTGTTAAAAATTTCAATCAGTATACACATATATATAATACAACATACTAGTTATGTTAAATGCTACAAACCAATGTGAATCCCATGGAATGGAAAAAACCACACATTTAAGCTTTAAGAACCATTTTTTTCTCTATATATTAGCATTTTCTCAAATACATACATGGGAAAAATGAGGTAACTGTAAAATGTGCAAGGAACAGGGCCCCCAAAATTACATATATTTCTACATATATATGTAATTTTATATATATATAAAACCTTTCTAACACAGAACACAGGCGCTGGGCCCAGCCAGGGCTGGGGGAAGGTGCCCACTGTCATGCCTAGGCCAGAAGTTGGTAAATAAGAGAGTAAACAATGGCAAGCCCCCACCACAGGAAATCATTGGTAACATGGCATCTATAGCAAGGTCGGCAGATCACAAACATCCTAAGTAATTGTTGTATAAATCTTGTTTTTTAATGATGATCTTTTTAAATGCTGTGTTTCCCCCCCAATAGCTGCTTGTTGGAATCACTGCTGCAGCCGACACACAATCTGTGAGCCTGTTTCCGCCTGCCCCAGGAACTGTAAGGGGTTTGAAAACGTTTTGTTGGGGTCGGGAAGGGAGGGGTTGGAGAGGGTGGTTCTGTGTAAAACACGTGGGTTTTCAACACTGCTATAAATATAGAAACGTCACCTGGAGTTATATACAGTAAGACTTTGGGTTCTCCATGGGGGTGGGACCAGGCTGACGGGCCCCAC
The DNA here is from genome assembly GCF_000001405.40 of Homo sapiens. Lineage (NCBI taxonomy): Eukaryota > Metazoa > Chordata > Mammalia > Primates > Hominidae > Homo > Homo sapiens. The sequence goes on from NC_000005.10 coordinate 176,527,583, forward strand.
GGCAGGCTGGGGCGGGAGGTGGGAGCCAGGGCCACTGCGAGGAGAACGAGGGTGGTTGGAGCATCCCTGAGGCAGCAGGCGCCAGGGGCTGCCTGCTAGGATGTGCCGGCCCCACACGCAGTTCGTTCAGGGCAGCAACCCCAGCTGGGTATAGGACAAGAAAGGATTGGGACCAGGGAAAGTGGGTGGGAAGCTCAGCCAGACCCTACAGCGGCCTCCTCCAGAACTTGGAGGACAGGGATCAGGCTGGGAAGGCCCCCTGGAGATGGGGGTCCACAGCCTTCCTGGTCCCCATCCTCCTGGGACTTCCTTGGAGGAGATTCGCCCAGGCAGGTGGGAGTTGGGCCCTGGCTGGAGGGAGAAATGCCCTGAAAAGCGTCGGGTCCCGGTAGGCTCTAGGGACGTGTGCAGTACAGTGCATGGCAGTTATCAGCTGAGCACAGACCCCCAACCCTGCCCCACGACCGCCGGCCGCCCAGCCCAGCCCGGCACACGCATGCATGCAGGCCGGCCAGCATGACCGTGCTCGGCCCCCTGGGCACTCGGTCCCAGTTGGTCCCTATACCCGCCCCTATTAAACCAAAAGAAAAAAGAAATTGTCTTAAATATCCACATCCCCAAATCCTACACGTGATTTTGGGCCAAATGAATGAACAAAAACTGCTGCTCCTCACGTTCATGCAAAACAACAGAGGGAGAGGAGATTGGGCACGGGTCTGGCTGCATCCCTGGGAGGGACAACCACCGGGAACACAGGGCTCCCTCTCCCCGTATGGCCCAAGCCCCTCAGGATACGTGTGCCCCAGCTCGGGATTAGGCTGGGACGCCCTCCAGCCTGAGGGTGGGGCTGGAATGTTGTTCCTGGGATGAGGGTCCCCTAGGGAACCAGACTCAGCCCTCACAGCAGCCAACACAGAGCCAGCTGCCTGAGTTCACTGTTCGGGGTCAAGGAGGGGGGATTCAGCCCTGGGGCTCAGGAAATGGCTCGTGACACCGTCTGTCTACGCACCTGGCAGTGCCACCTGGGCAGAGGGCACGCCATTTCAGAGCATGAGACCTTCTGACCCAGGATGGTGCTCTGTCTGCCCATCCTGGGGCCAAGGATCTCCACCGGCCCCACTGAGGGAGCGGACCCCTGGCACTCAGTGCCAGCAGGAAAAGGAGGGACCTGAGGGTGCACAGGAGGGAGACCCGATCAGGGACACTCAGGCAGCTCCGTGGCGGGCGGGCAGGCAGGCAGACTAGGGAGGGAGTCTTTGGAGCTTGGCAAATGCAGGGGCTTATTGCAGGGACTCCTCGCTGGGCTGACCCTGGCACCAGCTCTGGAAATGCAGGCAGGAGCGAAGGGGCAGGCCTGGGCCACTCCCTCCCCATCCTCCCTGGGCCCCACCCACAAGTTTCCAGAGCTTCAGGCAGGGTTCTCCCGGGCAGGCGGCTGCGTGGCCTCACTCAGCCTCCCTGGGCACCTCGGAGGCGTCGGCCCGGCAGATGGGACACGTCCGGTTGGCCTGTGGGAACATGCACGTCAGGCGTTGCTCTCACCAGCCCCAACCCACCACATCTGTGCAGCCACCTGGGGGGACTTGGTCCGCTGGAGCCAGAACTTCCGAGATGATGACAAGGACAAGGAGGGAAACAGCCCAGGCCAGCCCATCCCCCCGTCACTGCATGAGGAATACCCAGGAGCAGACCTGGGCAGTGTTACCTTCAACCACTTGTCAACACACTTGGTGTGGAACTCATGGTTGCAGGGGAGGACTCGGAGCAGCTGCCGCGCCTCGAAGTCACTGAAGCAGACCACACACCTGTGGAGGGGCGCGGAGCGTCACCTCCACGCTGAGGGCCATGGGAAGGCTCAGTGGAGTGTGACTCCCCTGAGAGGGGCGTCCCACGGCAGCCAGCTGTGTTCAGAGGGGTGGGAGGTGGGGCAGGGTACTCACAGCGTCTGCTCCGACTGATGGCTGTCCGGGTTAAAGCGGTACGACGGGAGCTGCTCTATGTCTGCTTTGGTGAGACCCCGGGGCTTGGCATCTCCCAGCCGCTCGGCCAGGTTCAGGAGGGCCTGCATGCGGGCAGGAGACGGGGTCAGCGGCGCCCAGGGCTGCAGGTCTCCCAAACCCCACCTCCCAGCATGGGGCTCCATGGGACCTCATAGTTCTCCATCTCCACATCATCCACGTCCAGGTCCAGGCTGATGGTGGGCCCCATTGCTGTTGGTGACATTGGCAGCATCGAGCTAGAGAGAGACAAGTGTGGGGGCCCAGGGTCAAGGTCAGGAGTGGGGCACACAGAGCCGCTCTCCTGACTCCCTCCTTGCAAACAGAGCCCAGAACGTTGCAGCGGGGAAGGGAGCCCAGCTGGCGTGCCTGTCAGGTTAAGGGGGGAACGCCAGGTGGCTTCAGAGGCCCTGGGGCCCCTGGAGCTGTGTTTAGGTCTAACCACTGGAGGTTCCAGGAGAACAGGGCATCAGGGACCTGGGGCGGATGTGCGGATACTTACAGGAAGTAGGGCAGGAAGCTGGGGTAGTAGGGTGGTGGGGGTGGGGGTGGGGGCGGCGGGGGCAGTGGCTGCTGCAGGCGGTATCTCTGGGTGCTCAGTCTCCGTGGCATCATGTGAGAATATGGCTGCAAGAGGGGCCAGGTGCAGGTCAGCCCAGCAGGCCTGCCTCCCAGCCGCCCCGGAGCCCAGGTGCAAGTCAGCCCGGTGGGCCTGCCTCCCAGCCGCCCCGGAGCCCAGGTGCAAGTCAGCCCGGTGGGCCTGCCTCCCAGCCGCCCCGGAGCCCACGTGCAAGTCAGCCCGGTGGGCCTGCCTCCCAGCCGCCCCGGAGCCCAGGTGCAAGTCAGCCCAGCAGGCCTGCCTCCCAGCCGCCCCGGAGCCCACGTGCAAGTCAGCCCGGTGGGCCTGCCTCCCAGCTGCCTGGGAGCCCAGATGCAGGTCGGCCCAGCGGGTCTGCCTCCCAGCTGCCCTGGAGCCCAGGTGGGGGTCGGGGTGGCACTCACCACACCAAAGGACAGCTCCTGGTGCAGCGGATCGTGGGGCAGGTAGTGCAGGGGCACCGACGGGGAAAGGGCTGGGCCAGGCGCAGAGGTGGAGTAGGTGAAGCTGCCCAGGGAGGGCTGGTCCCCACGCAGGTCCACGTCGTTGTCGAGCCGCTGGAGGGGCTGGAAGAACCAGCGCCGGGTCAGCAAGTCAGTGAGACGAGGCTGTCCTCACCCTGCCTCCCCCCACGCCATCTCCCTCCAGCATCGGACCCATGCCGACTCACCATCCGAGGGTGCTGGGTCTGCAGAGACACAAACTGCCCCAGGGGCGCCATGTGGGTGGGCTGGGGGGGTGGGGCCGGTGGTGGGGGGTGCAGGATGTAGTGGTCACTGGAGATGAGGTGGGGGTAGGCCTGATAGGGCACAGGCAGCTGCTGCATGGTGCACGCCTGGATAAGCTGCCAAGAGAGGGGGCAGGGGGCTGAGAACGTTCTCCTGGGCTCTGGGCCAGGTCTACGCCATGCCACCCAGCAAAAGGCCCCCACCGGGCACACACCCAGCAGCTCCAGGGTCTGTATAAGAAACCCTGTGGAAGGCCCATCCCTGTCCTAGGCCACCCAGGCAGGACACTCCACTGTTAAGGCCCACAGCCTCAACTCCTGGGCCTCTGCCAAGCTGTGAGGCAGGTACAGGGGTACTGGAAGGTTCCTGAACCTTGAAACACTCTATTACCAAATGTGAACACGCGTATGCTTTCCTGGGGAGGCCAGGCAGGCGCTCTGACAGCCTGGATGGCTGGATAGCTCAGCCCAGTTCAGGGCTGCCCTGGGCCCGCTGAGCCGCTGGCCTGTGCCTGGGGCTTGCAGCTGGTGGAGGAGGAGCTAGAAACACTCACTCACCGGGGGCGGGAGGCAGCAGAGGGGGTAATGCTGCCCACTGAACATCACGGAGCATGCTGGGAGCTGCTGGGCACTGCAGCCAGGGATGTGCTGGCCTGTAGGCAAGGGGAAGCCTTGGGTCGTCACTGTGGTGACCGTGTAGGACAGAGGGACAGGTCCCTGGTGCACCTGTGGGTGGAGAGAACGCCGGGAAAGTATGAAAAGGAAGCTGACCGCGAGGGCTACTCTCAGGAGAAATCATCCTGCCACATCCAGCTGCCGGCTCCCTTCCCTTCTCCACGGCGGCCTACCTCAGTGCAGACCAGACTGTGCCTCTACTCCCAGGCCCCCGGGGCAGAGAAAGCCCCGTGGGAATCTAGCTCTGCTAGTCACCCAGTGTGGCCCTTTCCCCGGGCCTCAGTTTACCTACCTGTAAAGCAGGGCCAATAATGCCTCCCTGGAACGTGAAATGAAGCAAGCTAGGTGAAATCTAGGCCTTGCTGCCTCTGCCTCTCAGACTGGCTCACAGGGCCAGGGGCACAGGGGATGGGGTTCTGCCTACCTGCTCGTGGAGATCAACCATGAACGGGCTCTGCTGGGTGGCTGGGTGCAGCATTCGGGGGCTCCCGCCGGCAGGAGCCGAGGCTCGGCGCTCCTCTACGGGGAGGTGTGGAGGTCGGGACGGCGGCTGCTGGGAGGGTAAGCGCTCATCCCGGGCAGGCGGGCTGGCCAGGGGGCCCTCGAGGCCAGGGCTGCACCACAGAGAGGAGGCCCCGATAGGACTGAGGGGGGCCACTCGTGCACAGAGCAGGGAGAGAAGCCAGGGTGACTCCCCCCATGGGGAGGGAAGGCAGCTCAGGGCCCTGCGCCCCACCCCTGCTGGCCCCCATGCCCCAGCACCAGGACTGGGAGGCTCCTTCCTACCTTCCCCAGAGCTGGCCCGGGGTGCTGCCAGGTCCCGCAGAGAATCGCCGCTGGCCCACGGGGGCGGAGGGTGGCCACCTAGTCACTGCCAGAGCCCATGGTCGCATCGGGGGGGCAGGGGGGTGGAGGGGCTGGGCCGGGACTCACAACCCTAGGAGGCAAGGAGACAAGAAGACTGAGGCACCTGGCCAACATGGTGAAACCTCGTCTCTGCTAAAAATACAAAAACTAGCCAGGCATGGTGGTGGACACCTGTAATCCCAGCTACTTGGGAGGCTGAGGCATGAGAATCGCTTGAACCCGGGAGGCGGAGGTTGCAGTGAGCTGAGCTGAGATCGCACCACTGCACTCTAGTCTGGTGACAGAGCGAGACTCCCGTCTCAAAAAAAAAAAAAAAAAAAGAAAGAAACTGAGGCACAGAGAAGTCCAGGCGCTTGTGCCATGAGGGGTCAGGAGACAGAACCAAACCTCTGCAGTGTGACCCCAGGGACCAATGGTGTTCAGCCGTGCCCCTCCTCCGAGCCCTGGGGTCCAGTGCTGACACGCCAGGACAGCTCAGCCTGCCAGCACCCAGGCCTCACCCTCCTGCTGTGTGAAATGGGACCCAGTCCCCCTCAGTTGCGGAGCTCAGCGAGCTGGCCAGCGTGCTTCCAAGCCAGTGGGTTCCTGGTAGGCTCCTGCTGGGCGGGGTCTCAGGGCACCCTGTCTTGGAAAGGGGCTTAGGGCCAGACCTTTCTCTGCCTTACACCAGGGGCTACAACTTGGCCTCCAGGCGGCAGCTGGGGGTTCCTGAGGAGGGTCCACATCCTCCCTTCCCTCTGGCTGGTTCCAGCAGGGATTCCAAACAGGCCTGGGACCCAGTTCTCCTCTTACTGGTGCCAGGCAAGAGGTTCTAACCCGCTCCTGCCCTCGGGGGCTTCCAGTCCAAAGCAAGACACTATTCTTTCTTTCCTTAACCTGCTCCCACTGTGCCTATCCACGAGTGACTTCATCTACCTTTCAAGGAATGTATAGCTGGCCCATTTTACGGGGGAGGAAACTGAGGCTCAGCAAGAAGAAACTTGCCCAAAGCCCCACCGTAAAGTGTTAAAGCTGGGAGGTGGGCCAAAGAAAGCCTCTCCCTGTGCTCTGCTGCCGACGGAGAGGACCAGCCCCAGGCTTCATGGGAGGTGATGAAGGAAGTCAGCCTGGGGAGACTGTGGAGTCTGGCATGCAGCCAGGCCCTTGCTCTGGGGCCCCCAACCCAGCCCTCAAAGTGGGAGGTGGTGCCTGCTGAGAAAAAAAGGAAGGAAGAACCCGAGAGAGGAAGCTGAATAGGAATGGGTTGGGGCAGGGTCTCCTGCCTCCGGTCAGAGATGAGGGTCCAGGTGGAGGATGTCGAGGGACCTGGCTCAACCTCAGGGTTCCGCTCAACTCAAAGTTGGGACGAGGCCCTGGCAGGAAAAGCTCTAGAACCTGTCAGGCCCTGCAAAGCTGAAGGATGCGTCCAACAGGACCAGATCTTTGTTGTTCCTGCCACAGGGAGGCTCGTTCCATCCCTTCCCCATCTAACAAAACTCCTATGCATCCTTGATACCCAGCTTTCAATGTCACCTCCCTGTTGACACAGCCAGGGAGCCAGTGTAACTGTCAGCTCAACACCTAGTTCCTTCCTGCCAACAGCGGCAAGAACCATTTCCTCTGTGCTGCACTTCACAAGCCTGGGCCCTGCTTCTCAAAAGGAGCCCGCATGGGAGACCGGGGCCCGACCAGCAGAGGGTGTGGGCAGGGCCAGGGACCACCTTGTGTCCAGCTCAGGGCAGGCCTGATGTGAGAAATGTGCACGGAACAGAGCCAATCACACAGGTCCAAGGTCACCCAGTCTGGCAGCAATGCCAACAACTGACAGTTGGGAGATTACAAAACACCTGGCTTCTCATGGCAAGCCTGGTCCCACTTGTTTCTGCCTGGCCCCCTCACTGGGAGCGAGAGCTTTCCCTCCAGGTCACCCAGGCCCAACCTCTGCCTGCCCATCATCGGGGAATGGGTTTGTGACCCCTGGCCTGGGCCAAGTGCACACCCTGACAGGCATGTCTACACACACAGCCTCCCGAACTCCTGCCAACAAACCAGCCAAGCAAACAACGGCCAAGGGAGACTCAGGAAATCCCCAAATAACTGAAACAGCAGATGCCTGGCCCATCCCAGTCCTCCTGGACCAGACACTTTGGAGGGATGGGGAACAAGGGCACCTAGATGTTTAACAAATTCCCCAGAAGTTGTCACAGCACAGCTAGATTTGGGAATCTCTACCCTAGCTAACCTCAGAAAGCTGGGGAGCCCATAGTTCTGCTGGTGCAGAACAGTCACCATAATAACCATGCTGTTTCCCCGGCGCCAACTTGGTGAGTCCTCCCAGCAACACTGGCAGGTCAGGACACCAAGGCTCAGAGAGGTGAGGTCCAAGGCCAGTCAGCTGGAATCGTGAGTGCGCAGGTGCATGACCTAAGCAGTCTGGCCATAAAGCACCCATGACTAGCCACCAAGCCAGCAGCCTTGACTGCTCCTCTTATGTCAGGATGTCTTGCAGATGGCTGAGTAGTGCCAGGCCCAAGGCACTCCTGCAGAGGCCCAGGCCTGTGGGTGTCTGCTCTGTGGCCAGCCCCCTACAAAGGCACCCACTCCCCAGGGCAGGGAAGGTGGTAAGGAGCTGTGAAAGCAAGCCAGGAGACAGAAGGGCCTCCAGCCGTGGGTAAGAATGTCAGCCCTCACAGACTCACACATGACAGTGACTTCTAGCGAGATTCTTGCCTACAGACCGTGGGCAAGGGCTTCCCCTCCCGAGCCTCAGTATCTTCATCTGTAAAATGGGAACAGCCCAATAACTACCTCCCAGTTTCCCATCAAGGACTGCTCCAAGGCAACAGCAGAAGCAACTTGTAAAGTTTGAACTTAGCTTGGGTGTGAATGATCATTATTAGCGAATACGACACGCTGACCTCCATTTCCAACCTCAAGCAGAGCTTGAAGGGTGCCACTTCCGGGGCAGCAGGCAGATATGCCACTCTAGGGGAATACCTCAGCTGGTAAGAGTGGATCCTGGTTCTTTAAGCCCTGCCAGGAACAGGGGTGGCGTAGAAGGGTTACACCCACTTCATGGCTGAGAAAACTGGAGCCGAGAGAAAGGAAGTAAGTTACTCTAGGCCACAAGACCAGAGAGAACGGAATTGGTCCTAGTTGGCCTCCTAGGCCCAAACTCCCCCAAGCCATAACTCCTGTGGCATCAGTAGCTGGAGGAAATCACCTAATCCCGAGTCTCCAAGCCATACAGGAGGCTGGGAGAGCACTCTCTTTCAGGCACCCATCTTTAGCTCTGTAGTACAGAGAAGCAAGCAAGGCCCAGAGTTGGAGCTAGCAACTTGCTCAAGGTCAAATAGCAAGGGTGGCCAGGTGGCCTCCCCTAACAACTGCTCTGCCCGTCCACATCTCCATGCTGTCCTATCACGGAGCTCTGTGTGAACGGGTCTTGAGAGTCCCGTCGCTGAGCCCCGTCCGCCCCAGGCACGCAATGCATTTTGCAGTTAACATAACCCCCCACACCCACCCATGAGAGCCGGCCAACCCCTTAAGTCCAGTGCCCCAAGCACCTACCCTGACCTTGGTCTAAGAGCCCCAGGGATCTGTTTGCAGGAAGAGACACTCCCTTTTGCAGATAAAAACAAAGTCAGACCCTGGGGGCATGAGCAGACTCAGCCAGGAAGAGAAGCCCCCCTTCCTACTTCCCCACACCCCACCCGAAACAAGCAGGCTCTGCCCAGCGCAAGCAGAGCTTCCCAACGTGTGGTGCCTGGAGGCCGCTGAGGGCCGGACCACCAGACTAGGAGAGAAGACTCCCTAGTGACCTTGGTCAAGGAAATCCCTTTGCTTCTGAGCGCCTCAGTTGGCACAGCTATAAAATGGGGGTGGAAATCTTTCCTTCCCACAGCGCCCAAATAAAACCAGAAGAGTCCAGAAGAAACCAGGTGGTCACACTAGTGGGGGAGGAAACCAGGGTCCTGGGGAAGGGGGGGCTCCCCAACGCGGGCCAAGTGCACGCTGTGGGGCTCTGGGAAGCTTACCCAGCCACCCCTCCCCAGGCATAGTGCTGGGGGGCCGAGGCGCGGACACAGCCCCGAGAGGGGCCTCCCTCGTCCGCTTCCTACTCTTTTGCGCCGCTCTCGGAGGGACACCGGGGGCGGGAGGCGAGACTGCAGCGCAGGGGCCAGAACGCTGCGACTTTAAGAGCCGAGGATCCCGGACCATGTGCTCGGCGTGAGACAAAAGCAACAACAAAGGAAGTGGCGGCCGCAGGGGGAGGGGGGCGGCTCCTTCCTCTCCAACCGCAGCGCTCAGCTGCAGGAGAGGGGAGATACGGCCCGGCCACGGGGGGCCTTGGGGGGGGTTCCTGATCCCTGGGGTCTCGCTGCCCGCAGTCTGGACCGCCCGTGATTAACCCCTACGGAGCCACCTAGATCACGGCCCCCATTCCCAGGGGAGGGGAACAGAAGGTCCATGGGTGGGGGAATAGGAAGTTGGGGGCCCTGGCACCGACTCACCTTTGGCCGCCCGGCCACACGTTGACTCCTTTGTTCCCGATCTAGGACGGCCAAACTGGGCAGGGGGCGGGGGAGGGGGGGGGTGCCTGTCTGGATCCTTTAAGAGCTCCCGCCCTGCGGAACAATGTGCTCCCCTCCCCACCCCCGGGTCCGGGGGCAGCCCGGCTCCTTCCGGGGCCTCTCTCTTTGTTGTCCGCCCGACGGCGTCTGCCTCGCGAGGCCCACGCGCGATCAGTCTCTCTCGGCCCAGGCCCTCAGGGAGCGGGAGGCGGCGCAGGACGCAGCTGGGTCTGCGCGGCAGCCGGCGGCTGGCCCTTTAAGAACTGTCCGCGGCGGCAGCGGAATGTAACAAACCCCACATTTGATTCACAACATTCGAAGCGGCGGGGTCGCGCGCCAGACGGGAGGGGGCTCGCGGGGGCGCGCCGGGAGGCTCCGGCAAACAGTAGCCCGCTGCAAGCCCGCAGGGGCCCCGCCCCGCGCCGGGAGCTCCGCCCTGAGAGCCAATCACTCGCCGCGACCACGCACGTGACTAGTGGGCCACCATCTTGAATTTTTTTAACCTCCTCCTCGCCCCCACCTTCGCACTTAAAGGGACCGCAGCCATAGTCAAAAGCAAGGGGCGGGGCCGCATATCCTGACATAAAGATGGGGAGACCCCAGGGTGGGCAAAACCGATCGGCTGCAACTCGAACTTGCTATGCAAACTCGCTAACTACTCGCGCCTCTGAGGCTCAGTTTCCCTGCCGAAGAAATGGGTCCCGCCAGGAGAACCGGCAGTACGGACTTACTGTGTCATGGTCCCCTCCTCGGGGACAGGGTGCCGCCTGAGATACTGAAGTGCAATGGGTCTGACCTCTGACGGGGCGAGAGCGGCCCAAGTGGTTATGCTGGCTCTAACAACCCTGGGCCGGCCACCTTCCCGGAGATGACGTCACCCCCAAGAGCTGCAGCACCGCGCTGACATCATGGCCCGGCCGCCCCACTTCTCCTTGTTTATACTACACGGCGTCTTTAAAAAGCTGGTACGGCCCAGATTGCCCAACAGACCAATGGCGGACCACCCATGCAAACGAGCTAACGTCTGCCGGGCAAGGAGATTGGCCCTGCTCGCGCTGACGTCACAGAGACATTTAACCGCCACGCCCCCAGCGTGGCGGTGGAGGAAGAGAGGCGGGGAACAGGTTGTAGTTTAAAGCAAAAGTGCAGGCGCTGGGCGCTCTAGCTGCTAGGCTGGGCTTGAGAGTTTGGTGTCCCCGCGGAGACCTCCCTAGCCAGGGAAACTGGGAACTAAGCCCAGTGAAGCGTCTATACTTTAGTTTTCTATTCCTCTCAGCAGCTATGAGACGGAGGGATTACTATAGCCAGTTCATTTTACAGATGGGGAAAGTGAGGGCCTTCCCTTACTCCAGATCACACAACTAGAAGTGTGGCGGAGCAGGAGTGTGAACCTAATCCAAAGCCGAGCCTCGTTCTCCTTTGCCTCGAAGCCCACCCACCCGGGCAAAATTTATACAAAATGGGGTATTACCTCCACCACAATTATATAAGCAGAAAATCAGTAATTTGCTAAATATCCAAGAGCTGGAACAGGTCGAATAATGAATATTGGGTGCATGCATATAATCAATAACGACTCTTGGGCAGTTACCACAAAGAGGCAGCTGGAGGCGACACGGGGCTATCTCCAAGACAGCCATAAACAAGGCGCCAATGCAAAATGTTAACATCTGTTAACCTGTGTGGTGGGCCATGGGGCAGGGGGATGGGGGGCTCATTTTCTATGCTGCTTTGGTATATTTCGTAATCCTAAATTTTATATAAAAATTGAAACCAAGATGCTGAACAGTTCTAACAGTATGTATCAGGTTTCTTTAATTGGACATATGCCACATCTGCATATATTTCTGGAAGGGTATACAGGAAACTGATTAACAATTGTCCTTAGGGAGAACTGGAAGGGAGAAGTTGGGTCAGTAGGATAGACTATTGTATATATTGCACATTAGCTCTTTTTTAAAAACCCTATGCATTATAACCCACTGAAATTTTTAAAGAAAGCTATTATAAAGACTATGTCTTAAGTCTTTTAAGCCAGAAAACCTTTTGTTCCCTTAGAATCAGAAACCCCCTTTCAGCTTGGGGAACAGACATGTTTATGGCAATGTTTAGACCAGCAATGATCGTATCACTGTGCAACACAATGACTGAAGATGGAACTGAGCCGGCTGTCGGCAGATCTCTAAGCAACACAAGAGCAAGGTCATGATGCAGTGCTATCGATGCTCCCTGGAACGCCAAACTCTATCCATCACAGTTAAAAATTACATGTGCATGAGAATAAGTGTGGCTATACAAGGTTATGTCTTTACCCAGTTCCTTATCATCAACTGTTCCTTTACCTCCAATGTCTCCTTCAACCTTTTGTTTTCCCCACCACATAAAAGCAATTTGAAAACCCTCCCCATGGCCGGGCACGGTGGCTCACGCCTGTAATCCCAGCACTTTGGGAGATCCAGGCGGGCAGATCACAAGGTCAGGAGTTTGAGACCAGCCTGACCAACATGGTGAAACCCTGTCTCCACAAAAAATACAAAAATTAGCTGGGCATGGTGGCATGCACTTGTAGTCCCAGCCACTTAGGAGGCTGAGGCAGGAGAATCGCTTGAACATGGGAAGTGGAGGTTGCAGTGAGCTGAGATTGCGCCACTGCACTCCAGCCTGGGTGACAGAGCGAGACTCCGTCTTAAAAAAAAAAAAACCCTCCCCACATTTGAAGGTACCTACATATTTGTTAGATTACTGCCTGCCTGTCCTTATGGATAGGGCCTACAGTGGCTCCCTACTGCCAACTGCATGGAAGCCTGGTTTTGGGGCTGCACTTAACAAGCTCTTCCTGCCCGAACTTTTCAGGCTCGCCTCTCCCCAGTCCCTCCTCTCACACCATGGTGGTGCTTCGTCTGGCTTTCTCTCCCTGCCACCTTCCTGCCTTTGCTCAGGCTAGACTGCCTGCCTGGGATGCCCTCTCTTTTCCTTTCTGCCAATCCATTTCACTTTTCGGCGGTTTGAAGCTCTGTTCCTAACTCACCTTTTACAGGAAGCTGCTTGTGACATCTCCAGCTGTGCTGAATCCCCCATTTTTGAACGCAGAGCTAGATGCACCCCAGCCTTTACCTCATGCCATTTAATTTGCACACAGTCCTGTCACAATCGCTGTGTGTCTCACTCAGTAATTCCCCTCCTGGCTGAAGGGGTTTGGCTTTTTTAAGTGCGCAGACGTCCAGCCTTCACTGGCATATACGGGTACCCCAGCCTCATTTTACAGATGAGGACCTGAGGCTCAAAGAGGTGAAGTGACTTGTCTGAGGCCACACAGTAAGACCACCTTTTCCATCCCCACCCCAGGAAAGCGACCCTCCAGCCACAATCTAATCCTGTACTTTTAAGCCACCAAGCTTCTGACTGTGGCATTCTCCCTGCTTAATATGTCCTCAATATCCCCTACTTACTGGGCAAAATCCTGCTTATGCTTTGGGACTAGCTCAAAGACCACTCCCTTGGATGGTGCCTTCCCTGCCCTGCCGGCTTGCGCTGGCTTCCTCAGTGTTAGGATTACCATCACATTGCATCATGAGAGCAGAAGACCATCTCCATGTGACTGCTGCCCCTGCTCCCAGCAGGGCCCACAACACCCAGTCCAGGACCTGGCTCACGCTGGGTGGCGGATGCCCAGGAATGGGGCTCTGGATCTGCCTCTTCTCCTGCAGGACCAGGAAACCGCTGCCCTGTCCCTGCCCCAGGAAACCCTCAGTAAATCCCCAGTCATTTGAGTTTCCCCTCAGCGCCAGAGACCAATAACACATCTCCACCAACCTGAAAAACCTTCACGCGTGGATGTGAAATCACTCTGGAGCAAGTGGGAAGGGAGGCACAATTTTCCCAGAATTTTCCAGTTTTTCAAATGAAGCCAGAAATCTGAAATCTGAACTTTTCTTCGAATCCCTCCTCAGGGTCACTGATGGATCTTAGGCTTTGGAACCCTGCTGTGGGGACGTGGCCTGCACACCTACTGTGCGAGCCTTGTTCTCCCCGTACCCCAAGCCCTCAAAGGGAGACGTCGTTTACTTTCATCGCACAGAGGAAAGCGGTTCAGAGCCATGGAGGGGCAGACCCTCGCCACAGAGCCCAGAAGTGTGAAACCTCAGATGGGAGTGGCCCACCTCTGCTCTGGCATCTGCTGTGAGGTTCTATGGGGGAAATGGGGGTCCTAGAGTCTTCTACAAGCTCTGGGCAAGTCCTATCCTGATCCTCTCCTCATCATGTTCTAAGAGCTGGCCACCAGCATTGGCCCCATTTTACAGATGAGGTGAGAGGTGACAGGACTCACCCAGTGTCATGCAGCCATCAAGGGGCAAACCTGGGATCCCATTCTCATCTCACATTAAGTGTGGTTTGTGAACCATGAATGCCAACACAGGGGCCCCGTGGTTGCTGAACAACCAAATGCAGATGTCCCCAGGGAAAGGGGAGAACACAGAGGCTCAGGGACTAGTGGATGGCTCCAGATCAGAGTGGACAGGAGCCTGAGAGGGATCCAAAGTTTGATCCTTCCAGCACAAAGCACTTGATGCCACATTCCGGCTTCCTCCCCCAGGCCTCCTCTGCAGTGGGGAAGGGCTTGGGCAAGCAGAGGCAGGAAGAGGAGGGCGTGGCCATGTTTCCTGCTGGGGCCCTGCCCGACTAGGGTTCTCACCTACCCCAGAGCCTGGACAACTGGCTGCCTCTCTCCCTCGGAGTCAGAAAGTACCCCATTTCTTTCTTCCAAGGCCCCTCAAACCTCCCTCCAAAGAGGCAGGGCCCAGTCACCTTCCCAGGATGGAGCTGGCGGGACACAGAGGCTGGGGTACCAGCCAGGGACACAGCACAGCCTGGCAGAGCCAGCTCAGGGTTCACACCTCCCAGACACCAGAGCATCAGAGCAGGGCCCAGAGCCTCACACACCAGGGAGGGAGTAGACAAAGCCCTGCTAAGTCCTTTCCACTCAGGGCTGGCCTCAACAGCCCTGAGCCCCGAGTTCTGGCTCCCTTAAGTGGCTGTGCGTGCAGATGGCGGTGAGGGCAGGGCGTCTGGAGAGGTGCTCCCCGTCTGGGGCTCTGGCCCTCAGCACTCGGGCTCCAGTTTTGAGACCTTGGGTGAGTTCTATGGCTCCTCTCCTTCTCAATCTCTCGTCTGTAAAATCGGGTGATCGATAATAACTAGGCCACTGGGGCGAAAGGACTACACTGAGGGGTGAGACAGAGCCCCTGAGGCCAGCCTGCCCTGCCTCTGGTTAGCCTGTGACCTTGGGGAAGTCAGTAAGGTCTGTGAGGCTGTTTGTCCAGGTGTGAAGCTGGGTGAAAGCATCCTTCTCGGTGGGTCAACAGTGGTTCTGTGTGTGTGTGCCGGCCAACTTTTCGGGTCTGGGTCCGCATTTGGAGGTGTGCGCTGTGTGGGTGTGGCGTGGGGGCGTTCCCCTTTCTGACTCCTCCTCCCCAACCCGCAGTTCTCACTGCTGGAACCCCCAGGTTCTGCAAAGGGGGCAGGAACCGTCACATTGTTCAGTGATGAAAACCGAGGGCTGCAGGAGTGCGGACCCTGGAAGATCGAGGAAGACAAGTCTACCCGAATCCCCCACTGTCCCTCCATCTTACTCGTCCTCCTTCCCTCACTTCCCAGCCCCCGGCACCAGCTCGACTCGAGCTTAGTGGCTTTCAGGCAACGGAAGCTGTGTGACCTTGGGCAAGACACGGACTCTCTCCGGACCCCGCAGCGTTCCGACATCCAGAATGCAGTAAGGACGGCGCTGAAGTGCAGCGGTCTGTTCCCCGGACCTGCAGCCGCTCCAGGGCAGGGCTTAGGCCGCTCTGGCTCCCCGGCGGCCGGCACAGGGGGCGTCGGGGAAATGTTTAGGACGGACATGGCGAGGCCAAAGAACTGCAGCGCGTCTCCGGCTCGCGGTGCCGGACGCCTGGGTCCCAGCCGCAGCTGGGACTCGCCGGGGGTGGCGGTCGGGACGTGCGCGGGGCGCAGGGCACGCGGGGGCTCGGAGTTCCCCGGGGCTCCCCGAGTTGGGGCGTTTGGACCTAGCGGACGGGGAGAAGAGCGGCGCAGCTCCCGCTGCCGGGCCCGGGACTGCGAGCTCCCGCCGTGCGGGCGCCGGCAGAGGCCTGGCGGGAAGACCCCGCGTGCGTTCCTCCGCCGGCCCGCGGCCGCCCCCTACCGCCGCGTGCTCGCCGGCCCTGCGCCCGGGGCGCTCGGCGCAGGGTCCGGGCCCGGCGTTACCTGGGGCCGCGGCGGGGCTCCACCCCCACCCGGCGGCCGGCGCGTCGCTCCCGCTGCAGCCCAGGCTCGCGGTGCGGCTGCGGCCCGCGCGCCGCCTGCCGCGGCCCCTCTCCGGCCCGGTGCAGGGGAACCGTCCGCGGACCTCACCACCCGGGCGCGCGGGGCCCACACCGGCTGCGCAGCTTCCAGGACCCCCGCCCCGGCCCCGCGCGAATGGAGCTGCCTGGACCGCACCACGCGTGCGGGGCGGAGCCTCTTTCGGCCGCGCCCGCCCAGCGTCAGTCGGCCAGGGGTGCGTAAGGGCGCGGCGCCTGGGGCCTGGCAGCCTCCGTGACCTTGGAGGAGTGACTTCGTTTTCTCGCCTGTGAAAAGGGAAACAATACGACCCCATGGTCGTTCAGAGAATCTTCGCTTCCCGGAGAGTGTGTCCCCTCCCCCAGCCCCGGTGGGCGCGGAGGTAGCTAATAGCTGTCTGGGGTCAGCAGATCTTGGTTCCCCGCTTTGGGCCATTCTCTGACCCTCACTTTTCAAGTCTGCGGAATGGAATTGATGATACCTTCTTCAGGAGGAGGATGGGAGACTCCAGTGACAACAAAACGAGGCGGCCGGCCGAGACATCGGGAGGGATTACGTTCCCCGCAACCCCTGTGTCCCCATCGCTAGAGCCAACCTGGACCAGGGCATGGCCGGCACCAGCTCAGGCCGCGGGTCCCGGCGCCGGAGGGTAGCCCCACCGTCCCCGCCTCCTGGGCGCATTAGGCCAGCGAAGGCTGCACCCCGCCGCGGGCCGCGCTCTGGCTGGCATGCAGGTGGTGGTAGTCCCTGCAGACCGCGCCTCCCACAAGCTGCACAACCAGGTCGTCTGCTTAGCCCAGGTTTAGCTCCTCTGCGGAGGGCTGATGAGACGGTGGAGCGGCTGCCTCCGGGTCTACTTAGTTTTTAAAGCTGCCGTTTGTTGACAGAACAGCCACCTAAAGGAGAGCTTTAGAGGGAATGAGTGCCCTGGAAGGAGGCTCTGGGGTGGGGAGAAGTTGGTCTCATGGGTCCCCAATTTCTTTCTTTCTTTCTTTTCCTTCCTTCCTTTCTTTTTTCTTTTCTTTTCTTTCTTTCTTTCCTTTTTTTCTTCCTTTTTTTCTTTCTTCTATTTCCTTTCTTCTTTTCCTTTATTTTCTTTCTTTCTTTCTCTCTTTCCTTTTTTTGACGGAGTCTTACTTTGTCGCCCAGGCTGGAGTGCAGTGGCGCGATCTCGGTTCACTGCAACCTCCGCCATCCGGTTTCAAGCGATTCTCCTGCCTCAGCCTCTCGAGTACCTGGGGTTACAGGTGTATGGCGCAACGCCCGGCTAATTTTTTGTGTTTTAGTGGAGATGGGGTTTCACCATGTTGGCCAGGCTAGTCTTGAACTCCTGACATGGTGATCCGCCCGCCTCGGCCTCCCAAAGTGCTGGGATTACAGGCGTGAGCTACCGCGCCCAGCCCCGAGTTCTTTCTAGGGTGGGAGGCTGTGAGTCTGTGACATCACGGGGATATTCTTGGGCTGGTTCCTTGTCTGTAAGAGCAACGAAGGGACTTTGTACCCTGCAAAGTGCAACTTCCGGGGATGATTGGGAAGTTGAGGGGTTGAATGCATTCACACCAGAGTCACTCTCAGCCCAGACTCTCCGGGTCACCTCTAAGGCTGTGCACTAGGTGGGCGTCAGAGGTATTACAGGTAAAGAAATGGCGGCTCAGAGGGAAGGAGAGACTTGCCTAACTTCAGGGCAAGCTAACGCTTGATTTCAACTTGATAAATTTCTGAGTATGCAGTGGGTGCACATAGCAGAGACAGGTAATGAGAAGTTTTCTTTTTTCCTTTTCTTTTTTTGTGGGGGGTGGGGACAGAGTCTCACTCTGTCACCCAGGCAGGAGTGTAGTGGTGCAATCTCGGCTCACTGCAATCTCCCCCCACCCCACCTCCAGGTTCAAGCGATTCTTGTGCCTCAGCCTCCTGAGCAGCTGGCACTACAGGTGCACGCCACCACGCTGGGCTAAGTTTTGTATTTTTAGTAGAGATGGGGTTTCACCATGTTCTACGTTTCACCATGTTGGCCAGGCTGGTCTTGGACTCCTGGCCTGAAGTGATCTGCCTGCCTCAGTGTCCCAAAAGTGTTGGGATTACAGGCGTGAGCCACCGCACTCGGCCGAGAAGTTTTTCTGATTAAAAAAAATTTTAAGGCACACACTTCAGACAGTGGCTGTGAAGGAACCCTGATGTGTATCTAAACTGTCGCCTCGTGCACATCACCCCATTACTTACTCTGTGCTAAGTGCTGTCATGCATTACATCATTACTCCTTAGAACAGGCCTATGAGGTGGAGTCTGCATTAGGCCCATTTTGGACAAGGACACCAATAGTGTGGGAGGTGGTGTACCTTGCCCAAGCCCCCAGCAGGTAAGTGGTGGTGGGGATTAGGACCCAGGTCACTTGAGTCCATATCCTGGGCTCTTAGTCCCACTCTGCCTGGCTGCCTGCTGCTCCGTGAAGCCAACCCTGGACCTAGACCTGGACCTGGATCGTCATAGCCCAGATCCCTGTGTGCTTCCCAGGCTGCCTTGTGGCAGGTGGATGGTGCCCCTCGAGATGGGCAGGGCACCATCTGGCCACACGTGCCTCATCGTGATGGGTCCAAAGGTCTGGGCAGGCCAGGACACACCTCTGTCAACCAGAGCAGTGACTCAGAGCTGTCGGCCTCAGCCGTAAGGGCAGGGAGAGGGGGCAGGGGCTTGGGTTGGGGTCTGCCCTATTTGGGGCACAGCAGAGCGACCAGGCTGACTCCCATGGTCTGAGGCAGAGCGGGGAGCCTGGAGCCTTGGGTGGGGTCACCTGCCTCTCTTCTTACTGGTTAAGCCACCAGCGATGACTAGTGCCTACTTCCTTCAGAGAGGAATCTGACGGCTGTGGCAGGAAAGTCAGGGGCAAGAATTGTTGCACAGATATGCTAATATCTCAGTTCTGCCACTTTCTGTAATCTCGGGTGGTGATCTAATCTGTCTAAGGTCTATTTTCCCATCTGTAATGGGGAAAAAAATCATCCCTGGAGTTATTGGCAGGATTAAATGAGGTGATATTAGTAATGCAATAGTCACCACCATGCCCCCACGAAAACTAACATTCATTGAGACCTTATTGTGTTGGGCATTGTGCTCAGGACTTCAAATGGGTGACTTCATTACATCCTCACCATCACCTGCCCAGGTAGGCATCATGTATTACCTGCAACTTACAGATAAGGAAACCGTCTTAGAGAGGTTATGCAACTTGCCCTGCCAAAATTGAACCCATTGTGAATATACAGTAGATAAAAAAAATAATAAAAATAAAATGAAATTAAAAATTGTGGCTGGGCAGGGCGGCTCACACCTGTAATCCTAGTACTTTGGGAGGCCGACACGGGTGGGTCACCTGAGGTCAGGAGTTTGAAACCAGCCTGGCCAACATGGTGCTCAAAAAAAAAAAAAAAAAAAAAAAAAAATTGAACCCAGCAGTCTGACCCCAGAGGAGCCTGGTCTCTGGTCTCTTAACCCCTGCATTGTAATAGTCGCATCGAGCGCTACCCAGTGTCTGCAGCATCCTTTCCTCAGAAACACTTCTCAAAAAGAGGAAAAGCCTCTTGGGTATCAAAACTCAGAACTGCATCATAGCTCCCAGAGCCTGGCTATACGCAAAGTGGTCTTTTTGGTCTTTTTTTTTTTTTTTGAGATGGAGTCTTGCTCTGTCACCCAGGCTAGAGTGCAGTGGGACAATCTTGGCTCACTGCAACCTCTGCCTCCCGGGTTCAAGTGAATCTCCTGCCTCAGCCTCCTGAGTAGCTGAGATTACAGGCACCTGCCACCGTGCACAGCTATTTTTTGTATTTTTAGCAGAGACAGGGTTTTACCATTTTGGCCAGGCTGGTCTCGAATTCTTGACCTGGTGATCCACCCGCCTCAGCCTCCCAAAGTGCTGGGATTACAGGCGCGAGCCACCAGCCTATGCAAATGTTTTAAAATGGATGGATGCTGGACTCAATGGATCTCAATTCCCTTTTTTCTTTGCCTGGGGGGAAGCTCAGAACCTGATTCATGACCCATCTCTACAATTACCCAGAACTTGAAGGCAAATATATATATATATATAATTTGTTTATTTTTTGAGAGAGAAGCTCTTGTTGTCTAGGCTGGAGTGCAGTAGCTATTCATAGGCACAGTCTCACTACTGATCAGCACCTGAAGTTTGACCTGCTCTGTTTCTGACCTGGGCTGGTTCAGCCTTTCTGAGGCAACCTAGTGGTCCTCTGCTCCTTGGGGTTCACCATATTAGTGCTGAATTTAGTGTGGACACCCCATCAGCATAGTGCCCTACAGCACAGAAATCCTGGCCTCAAGCCATCCTACTGCTGCAGCCTCCCAAGTAGCTGGGACTACAGGTGCACAGCAGTGCCCCCAGCTCAAGACAAGTATTTTATGGCCTCAATTCAGGCGTAGATTACCCTTATTTTTCTCACTTGACTTCCCTTCATCTGGGTTTCTTCTTTTTATGCTGGTGGCGTATAAATTTTGTTACTATGTTTTACATTTGGAGAGTTGGGAAGCAAACTATTAAAATGCCTGACTATAGCAACTGCCTGATATACAGTCAACACAACCCTTAACAACGGGGACACCTTCTGGGAAATGTGTCATCAGGCAATTTCGTCATTGTGTGAACATCACACAGTGACTTACACAAACCTAGGCGGTACCACCTACTACACACCCAGTCTCTATACCACCGCCTGTGCTCCTGGGCTGCTAACCTATGCAGCCTGGGACTGTACCGCACGCTGCAGGCAACTGTAACACAGGGGTAAGTATTTGTGCATGTAAACACAGAAAGGGTGCCATGAAAGATGATATTATACTCTTATGGGACCGCTATTATATGTGTGGTTCGTTGTTGACCAAAACACAGATATATGGTGCATGACTATATATCTATTGTGAATTAGACATGTCCTCTGCCCACAAGAAGAGGGCCACCCAATGGTGACGACTCAGTGGTGTGCCTTAAGAAAGTTGTGCCCAGGGTCCCCTTTCTGTGTCAACTGTGATGGCTGGGCCAAAGTGAGGATAAGAAGGACTTGTGGCTGAGCCCCTTCGGGAGGCCACCACATCGGGCAGCGCTTAAAGCCAGCCTGGGGGCCGAGCTCCGTGGCTCATCCCTGTAATCCCAGCATTTTGGAAGGCCGAGGCAGGCGGATCGCCTGAGGTTAGGAGTTCGAGACCAGCCTGGCCAACATGGTGAAACCCTGTTTCTACTAAAAATACAAAAAAAATTAGCCGGGTGTGGAGGCCCACGCCTGTAATCCCAGTTACTCGAGAGGCTGAGGTAGGAGAATTGCTTGAACCCAGGAAGCAGAGATTGCAGTGAGCCAAGATTGTGCCACTTCACTCCAGCCTGGGTGACAGAGCAAGACTCTGACTCAAAAATAAATAAATAATTAAAAAAAAAAGGCAACTTGGGAGTGGATGAAGCCCCTGGGGACGGGCAGATGCCTTTTGAGGGTCTCAATGCGGGGTGAGATCAGTGTCAACAGGCTCGAAAGTGGGTTGTCCAGGCTCAGCTAGCCCCCAGTCCTCCACGAGAACCTCACAGGGGCTGGTCTGGCCACACAGTGTTTGATTGTTACACTGTTTTACCACTTCCCTCTCCTGACTCAATCCCCCACTTGTCCACAGATCCCCTGTCACTGAAGACTCGTAGCAGGGAGGGGACGGGGGCTCTGGCATCACCTTCTGACTGTCACCGTCCCCGCCTCCAGCCTGCCCCAGTGTTGGGCCTTGTTCCCAGGTCCTCTGGGCTCAGGGTCGGCCAGGCCCCTTCTCCTGTGGTGTGGGCCTCCAGCCCCAGGAGCGCCAGGAGCTCTGGCGCCTTGGTCCCTTCCTCCTGTCCGGCGCCCCCAGCTGTACTCTGCCTCATTAGGAGTCGACCCCTCCTGGGAGGTGTGGTCTCTGGCAGGGTTAATGATTGCTCAGTGGAGGTGGAGATGGTGCCAAAGTCTGCTGGCCACATAGCTGCAGGCCGCAGAGGGTGCCCACCTGTGTGCCAGCGCCTGTCCGGCGCCTGCCTGCCGCCTCCGTGGCGAAGGGGACACAGGTAGGGACTATCCAGCTCATCGGGGGTCTCTGGGCCAGAGAAATGTGGGGGTTGGGGGGATCCCTAGAGCCAAGGCAAGCTTGGGGGTCTTTAAAAGTCTCCCCTGAAGCTGGGCAGGGGAAGTCACACGCTAGATGGGGCAGAGCCGGGTCAGGTCCCAGCCTGCTGTGAGGCCTGTTTCTTTGGTAAACATGGGATAATAATACCTCCTTCCCTGGGGGCTGATGGCCCCCTTCCCATCCAAGTCCTCAAGGGATGATTCTTCAGAGGATGGAAGGGAGGCAGGCACCCCAGGGAAACGAGGTAACTGGCCTGACCCCTTCATAGGATGCTCAGGGGTTGAGGACGGGGAAGCTGACCTGGGCTCTTACCCCAGCTGCTCGGTTCACATCCCAGCTCCACCCTGACCTTGGTGGGCTACTTAACTCTTCTGGGCCTCCGTTTCCTCATTTATCAAATGGGGATGAGAAGAGTTCCAGAAAGGGCCTGAAAAGCCCTGAGGCAAAGGTGAGCATGTGGCCTATGACCGAGCCCAGTGCCACCTCAGCCAGTGCTAGGAAGTGTCAGGCAGGGACTGACCCAGGCTGGCCCCAGCTCTGCCCAGTCCGGGCCTTGCACATCTCTCTGCCCTGGTAGAGGAGGTGGTGACCCAGCTGAGAGTCGGGGCCATGCTGCGTCACTCAGGCAGGCCTGTGCTGGGTTGGGCACCAGGCACAAGGCAGGGTCCCAGTGAGCACCGAGGTCCGGCAGATGGAAACAAGTCATGGCCCGTGTGTAGACCCCTTGATTTTTATCCTCACTCTGCTTCTCAGCAGGGGAAACTGAGGCCTGGAGAGGGGAGAGGGCTTGCCTGGGGTTGCACAACAAATATGTGAAATGCTGCCATCTGAACCCAGGGCTGTTTGAGTCTGTATGTGTCTGCTGGGCCAGGTGGCCTGGGCCATAGGCACTGGGAGGGCCCGTGGCGGGGAGCTGCGTGCTCAGGTCCCACATCCTTGCTCCGGGCACCCAGGCTCGGCTGGAGTCCGCTCTGTGGGTGCAGGCACGGCCTCCTGGATCAACGGAGCCCAGACCAAGGCTTGCCCAGGGACCCCTGGATTTGGAGGCAGCCTGGGTCTAACCTGCTGCCCCTGGCTCACCCATCTCTGGGCATCTATGAGCCTCGGTTTCCTTGGAATAATAGGATAGGATAATTCCTGCTTGGGAACAGCTGTGAGAAGTAAATGAAAAAGCAGAAGTGAAAGTGCATGGCGAGCTGGCCGTGTAGCGGTGGCGGTGCTGGGGGAGCTCTGTAGCATCGTGGCTGAGTGCACCCCGGGGGCTCCCCACACTGAAGGAGGACCCACCTCCCCACCCTGACCCTCCTGGAGGTCCTGGGCAGTCCGGGTATCCTCACTCCCAGTGGTTCCAAATTCTAGAAAATCTTGGCACCGTGGACTGCTCTGAGATGCGGCTGAAGCCTCCTCTCAGCCAAGGCTGAAGAGCTGGCACCTCCTGGGCCAGGTGGGACCAGTGAGGATTCCTGGAGACTACACATCTCATGGCGTGGGGGCCAGAGTCTCCCTGATTCTTCTCTGTGTCCTTTTTGGTCCTTCCCTAAGCACTTTCTTTTTGAGACGGATTCTCACTCTGTTGCCCAGGCTGGAGTGCAAGGCGCTATCTCGGCTCACTGCAACCTGTGCCTCCCTGGTTCAAACGATTCTCCTGCCTCAGCCTCCTGACTAGCTAGGATTACAGGTGCACGCCACCACGTCTGGCTAATTTTTTTTTGTGAGATGGAGTCTTGCTTGTCGCCCAGGCTCCAGTGCAGTGGTGCGATCTCAGTTCACCACAACCTCTGCCTCCTTGGTTCAAGTGATTCTCCTGCCTCAGCCTCCCGAATAGCTGGGATTACAGGTGTGCGCCACCATGCCTGGCTAATTTTTGTATTTTTAGTAGAGACAGGGTTTCACCATGTTGGTCAGGCTGGTCCAGGCATTTTTTGAGAGCAGGGAAACAACAGTAGTGGCCGGAGGGCTTGAGAACAAGGAAGCAGTAATTTCTGGAATATAGATAGTCCCCATTTTAAATTACTTTATTTTATTTTTATTTTTTGAGACAAGGTCTTGCTCTGTCGCCCAGGCTGGCGTGCAGTGGCGCGATCTCGGCTCACTGCAGCCTCAACCTTCTGGGCTCAAGTGATCCTCCCACTCTAGCCTCCCAAAGTGCTGGACTGTGTTTGCTCCTTTAAAAAATGAGAACTATTGGTATTGGCCTGGACTGCCACCACACCTAGCCAAGAGTTCTCTTTTTTTTTTTTTTTTTTGAGACAGAGTCTCGCTCTGTCACCCAAGCTGGAGTGCAGTAGCGGCATCTCGGCTCACTGCAAGCTCCGCTTCCCGGGTTCACGCCATTCTCCTGCCTCAGCCTTCCAAGTAGCTGGGACTACAGGCGCCCGCCACCACGCCTGGCTAATATTTTTTTTTTTTTTGGGGAACTTTTAGTAGAGACGGCGTTTCACCATGTTAGCCAGGATGGTCTCGATCTCCTGACCCCGACCCCGTAATCGGCCCGCCAAAGTGCTGGGATTACAGGCGTGAGTCACCGCGCCCGGTTAATAGTTCCCATTTTTAAAAGGAGCAAACAGAGAAAAGAGCCCAGGGGTACGGTTGTGCAGTGACTGGGACCTTGTTTCACACCCATGCGTTGGCCTGAGGCTGCCCCAGCAGGGAAAAGCGGGTGCCTGTCCGCAAGTCCCAGCCCAGGGGCAACTCCATTCACTCGGTTTCCATTTGTGCCTTGCTCCTGCCCCTTGCTGGGGTACCAGGAAATGAGGAGCCCAGAGTGGGGGCCACCAACTGCCTGAACACAGCTCCACAGCTGATCTGGGCCTTACAGAATGGAGAGGATTTGCATGTAGGCAGAAGGCAAAGAAAGACATTCTGGGCAGAGGGAATGGTTTAGGCAAATGGAGGAAGGACAATGCAGGGTGTGGACCGAGAACAGGAGCATTCAACACCACTGGACCTCAGGAGTGGGAGAGAGCAGCTCGTGTGGAAAAAGCAAGACCCAGGACCTCCAAGGACCTCGCCTGTCAGGCTGAGGGGCAGGCAGTGTGTCCTGCAGCCAGTGGGAGCCATGGAGGAGATTTGAGCTTGGGAGTGACCTATCATGGGGAAGGCTTAGCATTGGGGCAGGCCGTTATTGCGCCTTCGCCAGCCCACACAGACACTGTGCTTTTTCCCCAAGTGACTGAATCCAGAGGCAGATGCTCTGGACTGTAGAACGCCAGCCTCATCATGATCATGAGGAGGCAGGACTGCGAGAAACCCGGGGCCAACCCCAGCAGAGCAGGAGGCAGGCGAGGCAGGGATGAGGCAAGAAAGAGCACTGGCCTGGGAGGCAGACAGGGTGGCACCCCCACTCTGCCGCTGACAGCCTTGGAGCTGCTGGGCAGGAACCCTGGCCTCCTGCACTCATGTCTGTGTGCATAAAGGGGATTGATGAATCCAGCTCTTCCTTCCAGGGGGATGGCTGGGCCCACATGCAGGGGAGAGACTGTGCGTGCATCACACAAATGCAAAGGGGCATCGCTGTTGCTCTGAGTGAGGGTCCCCAGGCTTCTTGAGGCCCTCCATCCTGCCCTGTGAGATGGGGAGGGGGGAGTTGGGAGACACTTCCATGAGGGAGAAGCGTGGCGTGTATGGGGAAGGGGCTGTAGGGGGAGGCGCCTCGGGGACTGGGTGAAGGTCCTGGTTCGGGCTGTTCTCTCTCAACATCACATGTTTGTGGGCTCAGCATGACCTGTGGGAAAATCGGGCAGCTCAAGAAGGAAAACCCAGGAGCCTAGAAAAGAGAGAAGGCACAGGCCTGGCTTGGGTTCTGCCCATTACTGGCTGGGCCGCGCCCTTTCCCCTCTTGGACGTCAGTTTGCTGAGGACTAAATGGTAATGGGGGCAAAGTGCTAGCCTCGGTACACGGCCCTTCCTTGCCAGTTCCCATTTTCCTCTGGGACTGGGAGGAGGGACCCTGAGGGCAGGAATCTCCTGTCCTGCAGGCTGGACCCAGGGGAACTTTGTAATGATGATGAATCCATCTTGATACCTGCTGGCTGCACACCTAGTGACTAATTGTCCCGTGGCAGTTGACTCATTTCTGAAGGACAGAACATGAGAGAAAAAAGTGAGGAGGGAGGTAGGTTCCAGGTTACAGCCTCAGAGGGATGCCTGGGCTGGACGCATCCAGCCCCTGGCTGTTCCTTACACAATGGACACCTGCAGTCTAGCAGTACCGCTAATGCCCAGCTCACCTGCGTCTCCACCGCCAGCCCCGCCACCACCACCATCTCCCTCCCCCAACTGTCACCTCCACCAGCGCCACCTGCGTCTCCACCTTCATCAGCACACACATCATCAGCATGTCCGTCCCTACTTACCACCACCAGTGCCACCCCTACCCCCGAGGGATCCCTATCCTGATATTGGACCCTGCCTCCATGACCACCTCACTCACTGCCCTTGACTCCAGCGCTATGATGTCACTCTCCAGGGTGTAGCTGTACCCACATCGCTGTCCCTGTCTCACTGAGGACTGTGGCTCAGCACTGCTGGGGGTTCTGAGGACTGAGAACTTACTAATTCCCCTGAGCGGTGGGGCACATCTGTATTTATCAGTCTGGCTGAGTGCAGCCCTGCCGTTCAGCATGTGGGCTGTCCCCAGCTGTCATCTCCGGGGTTCTTGGCAAGCCAGCATTTTCCACAGCAACTTCCCAAGGTTCCCCTGGCTAGAGTCACATGGAAGGTAGCATGAGAAACAGCCCCAGGGCTCCTCCACACACAGCCCTGGCCCTGCCCATTTAGCTCTGACCTCTGCAAGCAGTCTCAGACCCTGGGGAGCGTGGATGGTCACCAGGGAGGGAGGAAGCTGTTTCCATGGTGATTGCAGTGGGAGGAGCAGCCATAAGGTGAGGACAACCCCACGGAAGGAAGAAGGTTTGCACTTGCTGAGCGCCTATTGTGTGCCAGGCGCTGAGGTGGCACATTCTTATTCCCACTCATCCCCCGCTGCCTACCCTCATCACTTAGTGGGGTTATTATTCTCACAGGGGAGGGAACGCTTAGAGAAGGGCAGTGAACTGCCCAGCGAAGCTCTGCTGCTCCTTGACTCTGTAAACTCAAGCCAGGCTCTTCACCTCTCTGAGCTTTGTTTTCCCCATCTGTAAAGTGGGTAGAATGGTACCAATCTAGAAGGGTTTTTTGTTTTTGTTTTTGTTTTGTTTTGTTTTGGAGACAGTGTCTCGCTCTGTCTCCCAGGCTGGAGTGCAGTGGCACGATCTCGGCTCACTGCAACCTCCACCTCCCGGGTTCACACCATTCTCTGGCCTCAGCCTCCTGAGGATTACAGGCACGTGCCACCACACCCAGCTAATTATTGTATTTTTAGTAGAGACGGGGTTTCACCATGTTGGCCAAGCTGGTCTTGAACTCCTGACCTCAAGTGATCTGCCCGCCTTGGCCTCCCAAAGTGCTGGGATTACAGGTGTGAGCCACCACACCCAGCCTCGAAGGGATTTTGTGAGCATTACGTAGTGCCCGGCTCAAGTTCTGAGAGGCAGGAGGTGCTTCCTCCACGAGTCTCTTGCTATTCATTGCTGTAATGTTTAACGGTTGCCAAACATCCCACCCAGGGCTTGTCCACATCTTTCTACATCATTGCCTGTGTTTCATGTTACGGTCACTTCCAGCTTCCCATGATTATAAATAATCACTCACGGTCAACAACTTTCTGCAAAAAGAGCTTCTTATTCTATGTTAGTTGGATGAGTAGGTCAACAGGGCAAACATTTTGAAGCTTTGGGGTCCACATCTGAACTGGGGTTTTCTCCTCTTGCTAGGGCCCTGGGGCCACGGGAGGCCTGCCTCCTTCTCCCTGCCTCAGGGAGAGGCGAGGGCCTTGGGATCGGAGAGTGGCTGTGAATCCCACTCACTTTCAGCTGTGAGGGCCTCAGCGGAACACTCCCAGCAAGAGCCTGTTTGCTCATCTGCAAAATGAGTTGCTGTGAAGATGAAATTCTATGAATCCCAAATATTCTGCCTCCAAACTATAGCCCTGCTCTTGCCTCCCCTCCAGCCCTGCTGCCCCCAGTTCAGCCCGGCGACACACAGCAGCCAGAAAGGTCTTAAGAGGAAATTACTGCCTGCCACTCCCCTGCTTAAAACTCTGAAATGGGCCAAGTGCAGTGGATGGCTCACGCCTGTAATCCCAGCACTTTGGGAGGCCGAGGTGGGTGGATCACCTGAGGTCAGGAGTTCGAGACCAGCCTGGCCAACATGGCAAAACCCCATCTCTACTAAAAATAAAAAAATTAGCTAGGTGTGGTGGCTCACGCCTGTAATCCTTCGGGAGGCTGAGGCAGCAGACTCGGTTGAACCCGGGAGGCAGAGGTTGCAGTGAGCCGAGATCGCCCCACTGCCCTCCAGCCTGGGAGACAGAGTAAGACTCCATCTCAAAACAAACAAAAAAAACCCCCTCTGAAATGACCTACTGTTTTTTGTTTTTCTTAGAATAAAATGAAACATCCTTCCTGTGTCTCATAGGGTGGAGCATGCTCTGGCCCTGCCAGATTTCTCAACCTGCCTCCCTCCCATGATTCCCCACCTCTCTCCCTGCAACCCAGCCACAGGGACCTTCTTTGAACTCCTGGAATACACCTGGTTCTTCCCTGGCCCAGGCCATCTCTCATATTGTTTGTGCTACTTGGGACTCCCGCATAACAGTGCTCACCTTATCACAGCAATATGGGCATTTAATTTTTAAAAATATCAAATAGGCCAGTCACGGTGGCTCACACCTGTAATCTCATCACTTTAGGAGGCCGAGATGGGAGGATCGCTTGAGCCCAGGAGTCTGAGGCTGCCCTGAGCCAGGATAGCGCCATTGCACTCCAGAATGGGTGACAGAGCAAGACCTTGTCTCAAGAAACACCTAAACAGGCCGGGCGCGGTGGCTCACGCCTGTAATCCCAGCACTTTGGGAGGCCGAGGCGGGCGGATCACAAGGTCAGGAGATCGAGACCATCCCGGCTAACATGGTGAAACCCAGTCTCTACTAAAAATACAAAAATTAGCCGGGTGTGGTGGCAGGCACCTGTAGTCCCAGCTACTCGGGAGGCTGAGGCAGGAGAATGGCATCAACCCGGGAGGCGGAGCTTGCAGTGAGCCGATATCCTGCCACTGCACTCCAGCCTGGGCGACAGAGCGAGACTCCGTCTCAAAAAACAAACAAACAAACAAACAAAAAACACCTAAACAGGCTGGTCCAAGTGCAGTGGTGTTTACAACTAATTTATCACAACAGGTTACAGATTGCTTTCTTCCTTCTCCACTCAAACTGCTTCACTTGACTAGCCTTAAAACAAACAAACAAAAATATCAAATGATACTACAAGGTTTATAACAAAAGCCGGCCTTTTCCTGACCCACACCCCACATCCCCAGTATCCACTCTCTAGAAGCAACTGCTTTCACCTCCTTTGGCCTCCTCCCCTCCCTCCCCTTCCCCGCTCCCTCCCTCCCTTCCTCCCTTCCTCTCTTCCTTCCTTCCTTCTTTCTCTCTCTCTCTCTCTTTTTTTTTTTTTTTAGCAGTGGATTCTTGCTCTGTTGCCCAAGGCTGGAGTGCAGTGGGAAGGTCTTGGCTCCCTGCAGCCTCAAACTCCCGGGCTCAAGCAGTTCTCCCACCTCAGCCTCACGAGTAGCTAGGACCACAGGCATGCACCATGGCGCCTGGCCTGTTATTTAATAATATTTTGTTGTTTTGCTTTTTTTGTTTTTTGAGACAGGATCTCACTCTGTCACCCAGGCTGGAGTGCAGTGGTGTGCTCATGGCTCCCTGCAGCCTCAAGCTCCTGGGCTCGAGTGATCCTCCTACCTCAGCCTCCCAAGTAGCTGGGACTACAGGCATGTGCCACTACGCTGGCCTAATTTCTGTATTTTTTGCAGGGACGGGTTTTTGCCATGTAGGTCAGGCTGGTCTCAAACTCCTGAGCTCAAGTGGTCCATCTGCCTTGGCCTCCCAAAGTGCTGGGATTATAGGCGTGAGCCACTGTGCCTGGCCTCATAATTTTTAAGACATTATCTGTTTATTTCCTTTTTATTATCACCTTCTTAGATTTTTTTTTTTTTTTTTTTTTTTGAGATAGGGTCTTGCTCTGTCGCCCGGGCTGGAGTGCAGTGACGAAATCTCTGCTCACTGCAACCTCGGCCTCCTGGGCTAAGTCATTATCTGTTGATTTTTTTTTCTTTCTTTCTTTCTTTCTTTCTTTTTTTTTTATTTTGAAATGGAGTCTTGCTCTGTTGCCCAGGCTAGAGTGTAGTGGTGCGATCTTGGCTCACTGCAACATCTGCCTTCCAGGTTCAAGCGATTTTCCTGCCTCAGCCTCTCAAATAGCTGGGGTTACAGGAGCCCGCCACCATGCCCGGCTAATATTTGTATTTTTAGTAGACACAGGGTTTTGCCATGTTAGCCAGGCTGGTCTCAAACTCCAGACCGCGTGATCCACCCGCCTTGGCCTCCCAAAGTGCTGGGATTGCAGGTGTGAGCCACCGAGCCTGGCCTATCTGTTAATTTCTTAAAGTGAAAGATGAGGATTTTATTATCTTACAGCCCATCACGCTTCCCCAGCGCGCATGGTAAGGTTGTAGTCCATCGACCATGGGAACGGGACCCCCTGAGCCACTGGCGTATGATGTTCCTGGGCTCCTTCTAGTACAGCTTTCCTTTCCTGCATGGTCACTGGTTTTGCTTGCTTAGTTTTCTTTTCTTATTTTTTTTTTTTTTTTTTTGAGACGGAGTCTCACTCTGTCGCCCAGGCTGGAGTGCAGTGGCGCCATCTCGGCTCACTGCAAGCTCCGTCTCCCGGGTTCACACCATTCTCCTGCCTCAGCCTCCCTAGTAGCTGGGACTACAGGCGCCCGCCACCATGCCCAGCTAATTTTTTTTTTTTTTTTTTGAGATGGAGTTTCCCTCTTGTCGCCCAGGCTGGAGTGCGATGGTGCGATTTCGGCCCACTGCAACCTCCGCCTCCCAGGTTCAAGCAATTCTCCTGCCTCAGCCTCCCAGGTAGCTGGGATTACAGGCATGTGCCACCACGCCCAGCTAATTTTTTCTGTTTTTAGTAGAGACGGGGTTTCTCCATGTTGGTCAGGCTGGTCTCAAACTCCTGACCTCAGGCGATCCACCCACCTCAGCCTCCCAAAGTGCTGGGATTACAGGCGTGAGCCACCGCGCCTGGCTAATTTTTTGTATTTTTTAATGGAGATAGGGTTTCACCGTGTTAGCCAGGATGGTCTCGATCTCCTGACCTTGTGATCCGCCCACCTCGGCCTCCCAAAGTGCTGGGATTACGGGCGTGAGCCACCGCGCCCGGTTGCTTGCTTAGTTTTCTACATGGTATCATAAGTTCATCCCTTCACCCTAGCCAGAGGTGTAAATCTCATTTCCTGATTCTATAGGATAAGAGTTTGGATAGGGCATAGCAGGAATTGCTCAACTCTGTTCCATGGTGTCTGGGGCCTCAGCTGGGATTATGTAAAAGATTAGCGGTTGGACAGTGGGGACTGGCTAGACATCTTGCTCTCCCTCAACGCACAGGCCTCTTAACGTGGTTAGCTTGGGCTTCCTTATAACATGGCGGCCTCAGGGTAGTTGAACTTCTAACAAAGTATCTCCAGGTTCCTAGAGCAAAGTGGCCCAAGAGGCCCAGGTGTAAGCTGCAGAGCTTCTGAATGCTGCATTTCTGCCACGTTCTGTTGATCAAGCAAGTCACTAAGGCCAGCTCAGATTCAAGAGGAGGAATTAGACTTCCCTTCTCAATAGAAGGAATATCAAATAATTTGTGACACCATTAATCTCCCACACATAGCTCCATTAACTCCAGGATTGTTACCGAAAAGCCCCATAACCTTCTGATTCTGGGTCCTTTGTATGTCACTTGTTTTTCTCTGCAGAGGATTTCAGGGTCTTGTCTTTATCCCTAATACTCTCAAAATGCTTTGGCTTGGGTTTTCTTTTCCTTTCTTTCTAAAATTTGTTCTTGGAATTCTTTCAGTCTGGAAATGTGTTATTCACTTATACAAAATCTATTGTTTGTACTCATTTGATAGTTTCCTTTCCCTGTTTTCCTTCTCTGTTTCTCTTTCTGGGACTTCTATTAATCAGACATTGGACCTCCTGGATTAATCCTCTAATTTCTTATTTTTCTCTCCTAGTTTCCATTTCTCAACTTTATATTCTGATTCCTCCATTAAATTTTTAATTCCTGCATTTTTTTTAAAATCTATAACAGTGGCTGTCAACTAGGGGTGATCTTACCACCACTCTCCCTCCCCCATCAGGAGACATCTGGCCCCTCCCCCATCAGGAGACACCTGGCAATGTCTGGAGACATTTTTGGCTGTTGCAACTTGGGGGTTGCTACTGGCATCTAGTGGGTAGAGGACAGAGGTGTTTAACAGCGAGGAAATATCGGCTTCGTATGTGAGAATTAGATAAAGGGTGGTTGAGGCGTGGCTTTGGATTGGTTGGTTTGCATAGGAGAGGCAGGTCTGAAGGCAAGGCGCTTGCTGTCTCTGGGAATTAGCCAGCCCTAGGAGGGAAGTCTCTCCCTAACCAGCAAGGCCCCAAAGATGTCAAAGCATCATAAAACACAGAAAATAAAAACAAATGGCTGGGCGCAGTGGCTCACGCCTGTAATCCCAGCAATTTGGGAGACCGAGGCGGGCAGATTGCCTGAGGTCAGGAGTTCGAGACCAGCCTGGCCAACATGGTGAAACCCCGTCTCTACTAAAAATACAAAAATTAGCCAGGCGTGGTGGCGCACCCTGTAATCCCAGCTACTCGGGAGGCTGAGGCAGGAGAATCACTTGAACCCAGGGGGTGGAGGTTGCAGTGAGCCAAGATCGCACTACTGCACTCCAGCCTGGGCGACAGGAGTAAAACTCTGTCTCAATAAATAAATTAAAAAAAAAAAAAGACGCCAAAAAAGAATGATTAATACACCAGATTCAAGGGGAGCAGACATAGTCCTCATCTCTTGCAGGAAGGAGTGTCAAAAGATCTGTGGTCATGTTTGTCTGCCATACCACTTAAAGCGGTTCCCTTCTTTCACTCTCATCACGCCCACATCCCCCTCCTCCACAGCAGGGATGCAGTGCACTATTAGGTGGTACTTTGCGTACTCGTCTGTAGTCTGTCTCATTCAGAACCTGCACTGTTTTGCTCACCATTGCCTTCCCATTGCTGGGAGCAGGGTCTGGCAGATAGCGGCTCATGGATACCCAGTAACTATTTACTGAGGGAATGAATGAGCGAATCAGGGTACTCGGCACATATTAGGTGCTCAGGAAACGCCAGCAGCTATTTAAGATTGTCAGCCTTCCTGATGTTCCATGTTTCCCCAGCAGGTCTGTGGGGAGCATGGCGAGATGAATCTGAATTAAAAGAGGGAATGCTGTGCTGGGGCTTCAGGGCGGGGTGCTGACCATGCCCGGGAAGCACGTAGCCAGATCAGAACCAGGATCTCTGACTGTCTAGGGCACACTGGGGGAGGAGGGCCTGCAGCTAGCCAGTGCTGGCCAGGGCAGAGTTCTCCGGAAGAGAGGAACCAGGAATGGGAACTCCAACAATGAGAAGGGCAAGAGACAGACCGTCCTTTTCCTGCAATAATAACTTCTCACATTTATTATGTACTTACTGTGAGCTAGGCACTGTTTAAGCCTCAACACAAACCCCTGGTGTAGGTGCTGTTATTATTCCCATCTTACAGGTGAGGAAGCTGAGGCCCAGAGAGGGTATGTTACTTGCCCAAGGTTATGCTGGATTTGGACCCAGGCTCTCAGGTCCACATACCACATTACACTCTGCTCTATCTCATGGGTGTTCTGGATAAGCCACCTGGGGTTGCAGTGACTCACTGGCTCATCCATTCATTCCTTTCAGAAATACTCACTGAGCCTACACTGGGCTCAGCCCTGTGCTTGGTCCTGGGGTCACAAAGGTGCATCAGACGCAGACCTTGCCCTCACATCTCTTCTGGCCTGGTGGGAGAGGCTCATCTGCAAAGAGATAACAGAGGTTACTCTCAGGTGTATGCAGCATCCTGTGAGGTCACCATGGATGGGCGGAGGAGGCAGTTTCTCCTGTGGGAGCATTGAGGGCGTGTCTGGACAGAAGGGGATCCTGGAGTTGGGTTCTTTTTTTTTTTTTTTTGAGGTGGAGTCTCGCTCTGTCACCCAGGCTGGAGTACAGTGGCATGATCTCGACTCATTGCAACCTCCACCTCCCGGGTTCGAGCGATTCTCCTGCCTCAGTCTCCTGAGTAGCTGGGACTACAGGCATGTGCCACCTCGCCCGGCTAATTTTTGTATTTTTAGTAGAGATGGGGTTTCACCATGTTGGCCAGGCTGCTCTCAAACTCCCGACATCAAGTGATCCACCTGCCTTGGCCTCCCAAAGTGCTGGGATTACAGGCATGAGCCACCGCACCCAGCCTTGGAGCTGGCTTTTAAAAATGAAGAGAGTGCATCAGCCAGCAAGGCGGGGAAGAGCATTCCAAAAAGAGGGACGGGCAGTAGTGAGAGCAGGCAGAGGGAGTCTGTGGGCGTGCGGGAGATGAGGGGTGGGCTGAGATGCAGGGAGTGGTTCGAGGTGAAGCTGGAGTGGTCGAGGGTAGTCTTTGGGAAGCCCTTTTATGGAGTCTGGACTCTAGCAATGGGGAGCCATCGAAGGGTTTTGAGTGAGGGCGGAAAAGATTAGATTATGTGCAGAAGGACTAGTTTGGTTGAGTGGGATGGATTAGAGAGGCTGGAGGAAGGGAGGCCTTGAGGAGGCTGAGGACAGTGTCCCCAGGGAGGGCGGCCAGTATGGGATGGAGAGATGCAGGCTGATTAGAGAGAAACAGAGGAGGCTGCACGGATTGGACGTGGGCGTTCAGGAGAAGGAGGTGTCAGAATGGCGTGGGCAGGTGGGTGGCTCCCCGAGGCTGGAACTCGGGAGGAGGGGTGGGCAGTGTGAGGGAGAGTTCTGGTTTTTGATGCTGTTTCATCATCAGGGCTCGGCTCTGGAAGCCATCCTCTACCCCCACTCCTCCCCAGGGCTGCGTGCTTACTTCAGATGCTCTGGGGCAGGAGGGAAAGGGACATGAAGAGGTGCCCAGGACCAGGTGAGGGTGCTTGGTAGTGTTAACTTTTTTAAAAACACAAAATATAAATCTAGAAAAAGAGAGGGGACCATGTGCAGGTGGCCATCCCTCCGGCCAAGACCAGAGACAGACACTTCGAAATGGGGTTTGGGGCAGGAGCTTGGTGCTGGACAGTGTGGCTACACATACATATTCAACAGGTTACAGGAGGAGCTATGCATATTCATAAAGGAGCTCCTGACACATGCATGTTGAACACACGTGCATGCAACATATGATCCACGCTCACTTGGGGTGGCAACTTAACATGTAAATGTATTACAATTACGCCCTATACATCAAAAGGCCTTTTTGTGACATGGAAGGTGCATGAGTAAGCAATCTCTGAATGAGCTGGAGCCGGTCTGTGGTTGGTGGGCTCTTATCAGGAGAAAGTTACTGAAATCAGTCTCTTGTCCAGTCAAGGCTGTGGTTATGGGCTGGGCGCAGTGGCTCACACCTGTAATCCCAGCACTTTGGGAGGCCGAGGCAGGCAGATCACTTGAGGTCAGGAGTTCAAGACCAGCCTGGCCAACACGGTGAAACCCCGTCTCCACTAAAAATACAAAAATTAGCCCAGTGTGGTGGTGGGTGCCTGTAATCCCAGCTACTCGGGAGGCTGAGGCAGGAGAATCACTTGAACAATGGAGGCAGAGGTTGCAGTGAGCCGAGATGGCACCACTGCACTCCAGCCTGGGTGACAGAGTGAGACTCTGTCTCAAAACCAAACAAACAAAAAAGGCTGCGGTTATGGCTGGTGGAACAGGGGCTCAGTTCGTCAGCAGCTGTGAACTGGATGAGCTGTAATTGCTTTAATTTGGCTTTTCTCGAGGCCAGTGCTTATTTAGCTGCTAGAGAAAAAGAAAAAAAAAACCCTCATGGCAGTTAGAACAGAGTTTCTTCTGTAGGGCTGCCTGGCTTCACCCTGGCCTGGCATGGCCTCAGGTCCTGTTTATAATTTGGCATCTTATTGCCACGGAATGTCTATTCTTTCAGTCCTGCGAACTCTATTTTAACATTAACGCTGGTCGGTTATTGTGTGTCGCCTGTAAAAGAGAAGGGTATAATGAGGCATGATTGACCTCCCATCCCGCCATGGCTGGAAACTAAGTTTTGAAAGTTTTTCTGGGGTCTCCTGGGCCACAAGTGGGGCCGTTTAGTCAGTGGGAGGCATAGGATTTTATTTTTAGTTTACAGTAGCAAATGTGTTCCTTTGTTTGCTTTCAAGCTTGTTTAATTCATTTTTGGAAAAGTTAACATATTCAATCAGCACAAAAGAGTATACAGTAAAAAACTGGGCACAGTGGCACACGTCTGTAATCCCAGCTACTCAGGAGTTCAAGCCCAGAAGTTCAAGGCCAGCCTGGGCAACATAGTGAAACACTGTCTCAAAAGAAAAAAGTATACAGTAAAAAGCCCTGTCTTACAGAAAGATTATAGAGTAGCACAGTGAACATAGAGCATACAGACAACTTTCTAGACAGACAGCAAGAAACAAAACGTGTGGGGGCCCATCCTGCTCTCCTGCTTTCTGTGGAGTGACACATCAGTTGTCTTTGGGGATTCTTTTTTTTTTGAGACGGAGTCTCACTCTGTCTCCCAGGCTGGAATGCGATGGCGTGATCTCATCTCACTGCAACTTCCGCCTCCCGGATTCAAGCAATTCTCCTGCCTCAGACTCCCGAGTAGCTGGGATTACAGGCACCCACCACCATGCCCGGCTAACGTTTTTTGTATTTTGTTAGAGACAGGGTTTCACCATGTTGGTCGGGCTGGTCTTGAACTCCTGACCTCAGGTGATCCGCCCGCCTCGGCCTCCCGAAGTGCTGGGATTACAGGCGTGAGCCACCACGCCCAGCCTTGTCTTTGGGCATTGAAAGGGCCTTGATGTTTCAGGTCTCTCTGTGACAGTGAATCAAAGTCCCCCTTTTCTCCTTTTCCCTAACAAGGGACGGCTTGCAACATAAGATGATCAAAAAGACTGGCCCAGCAGGGTTTTCTAAGGTCTCTGTCTGGCTATCAATCAACAAGAGGATCCCAGAGTATGCAGCCCTCCCTAGACCCACCTGACTGGGGAACCCTTCTGCTGTGGCGCATCTCAGAGGGCCAGGGTTCCACGGAGCACAGTTTGGGAAAGGCTGCAAAGACAGCCACTAGATGTATCAGCAGGTGAACGAAGGACCCTGCCCACCCATAGTCTCTGGATGGTCCTGGACAAATTATGGTCCCTCTCCAGGGTCTTGATTGTGAAGGATACTATTAGTTTGAACACTTCTAACAGGCAGGTATAGATGGTGCAGTGGTTGAGAGAATGAACTCTGGACTCCAAAAGACCTGTGTTCCAAGCATGGTCTTGTCATTGACTCCCCGTGGCCTCAGGCAAGCCCCTTCGTATCTTGGTGCCTTAGCAGCCACCTCACAGTTGTGGGAATAACACAGCTGCACATCTAGTGCCTTGGAGCATTTCCTGGTGCATGGCAGGTCCTGGATTCAGGTTCAGACATCGTGGTCACCCCTACCCCACCTGGCCTCCCCCTTGGTTCCCCTGACCCTAGAGCATCTGGAAAATGGACAGAGGGTGATAGAGGCCCTGGGGGAGAACTACTAAGCAGCAGTGGTGGGTGGGCTCAGGTCAGACCCAGGCAGATGGGAGTCTGCCAAAAGGAGGGAGGCCTGAGTCCAGGAGCCATTCCCTGACCTCTTCCCTTAGGTCCCTGCGGATGTGATGGCCCAGCTATGGCTGTCCTGCTTCCTCCTTCCTGCCCTCGTGGTGTCTGGTAGGTGTCTCCCCTCCCCAGCCACGCAGCCCTAACCTAGAGACCCTTGGCAGGACCCTCCAGAAAGGAGGGGGATCCCTCATCAGCAAACACCAGCTCCTATGGGCCAGCCCTGTGCTTGGCTAAGCTGGGGAGGCCTGGGGAGGAATCCAGGCCTGGACGGGTGGCCTGGGTGGCCATAAGGACTAGTGTGTGCTCCCAGGGGAGCAGGTAGGGATCGGGTTTTGCAGGGGTGTCCCGATGTTCCAGCACACTGTGTCCCTACAGTGGCAGCCAACGTGGCCCCGAAGTTCCTAGCCAACATGACGTCAGTGATCCTGCCTGAGGACCTGCCTGTGGGTGAGTCCCGGTCCCTGTGTCTGCCCCATGTCAGGTCCTGACCCACAGGAAAGTCCTGGGGTGCCCTCTGGAGCCCCCACCATGCCTGCAACTCCATGGCTTATTGTGGGACAAAGAGGGACTGAAGGGAGCTCCTTTGATTCCAGAAGTTTGTTTTCTTCTCTTCAGCTTCTGGGTCAAGAGCAGTGTCCTCAAAGGTGTGAGACGCACCTCCAGGGGCCCTCACACCAGCGCCAAATCATCCGGCCTCCCCCATTGCCCATCGCTTTCAGTCTCTGACTGGAGGATCCCCTTGGGCCACGCTTCCTCCTCCTTCCTCACACTGGCTAATCTCTCCCACTCCCACGCTGGCTTTTTTTTTTTTTAAAGGGAGAGCAGGTGTCAGGCTCAGACCCTTTCACAGAAGCTAATGACTCACTTTGCTTTGTTTTTATTTGTAAAGTTACTTTCTGTCTATGGCAGGTGAGATGGGTTTTGAGATGTAAAGTTTGCTTTTAAAGTAAATGTCTTTACATGAGATGGAAAGTCAATTTAAGGAATGAGCACCAGGAACAGAACACAGACATAGCAATGGTCACGGCAAAAGTCACAGCAAAGGTCATGGCAGCGGTGCAGGAACGAATGAAGTTTGGGAAACATTATTTTGGAAGGAGCCAGGGGGCCTAGATACCACATTCCCAGAAGGCAGGATATAGATCGGGGAAGTAGAAACCATAGGTGGCCGGGTTGGTTGGGACCCCAAATAACAGAGATGCAAACAAGGCGGAGGTGAATTACCGCCCCTCGTGGCCGCCCAGGAGCCCGGACGGAGCTGTGGGGGCATGTCCCATCAGGCTGCCCTCCCTGCAGGGCTTGAGGGGGCGGGGGTCACGCAGCCTTCTTCCCGCTCAGTGGCCCGACTTCCCTAAGGCACAGGTCCCACCCACATGGGCCAGGATGGCTCAGACGAGAAACCATTCCAGTCACAGAAGGAGGAAGGGGACAAGAGGGCTTCTTCCTTTCTGGATTTTACACACATTGCTTCTGCTTTTGTCTCTTTGGCCAAAACTAAGCCACAGACCCACGCCTAGCTGCAAGGGAACCTGGCAAATGTGGCCTTCATTCTGGTTGGCCGTGTGCCTAGCTCAAAATCTGGGGCTCCATTGTTCTCAGAAAAGGGGGACAAGTGGATATTGGGGGACAAGCCACAGCCTTTGTTGCAGTGCAAAATGGAATCCAGGAATGTCGAAAGCTGCCAGATGAAACAAGAGACACCAAGGGGTATTGACAAATACAAAACCTGTGCAAGCAATCCCCTGATCAAGAGAAAGTATTTCCATCACCCCAGAAAGTTCCCTGTGTCCAGTTCTAGTCAATCTCTGCTCCCTAAAGGCAAGTGCTATTCTCATGTCTATCCCATGGAGGCTGGAGAGGGAGGAGTGCACAGGACTTTTTTTTTTTTTTGAGACAGGGTCTGGCTCTGTCCCCCAGGCTGGAGTGTAGTGGTGCGATCATGCTCACTTCAGCCTCGACCTCCTGGGCTCAACTGATCCTCCCACCTCAGCCTCCCAGGTGGCTGGGACTACAGGCATGTGCCACCATGCCTAGCTAATATTTTATTTTTTAAAGTAGAGACAGGGTTTTGCTACATTGCTGAGGCTGGTCTCAAACTCCTGGGCTCAAGCAGTTCTCCCATCTCGGCTTCCCAAAGTGCTGGGATTACAGGCATGAGCCACTGTGCACCACTACACCTGGCTAATTTTTTATTTTTATATTTATTTATTTTTGAGATGGAGTCTCGCTCTGTCACCCAGGCTGGAGTGCAGTGGTGCGATCTCAGCTCACTGCAACCTTCACCTCCCGGGTTCAAGCAATTCTCCTGCCTCAGCCTCCCCAGTAGCTGGGATTATAGGCACGTGCCACCAGGCCTGGTTAATTTTTTGTATTTTTAGTAGAGACGGGGTTTCACCATGTCGGCCAAGCTGGTTTCGAGCTCCTGATCTCAAGTGATCCGCCCACCTCCACCTCTCAAAGTGCTGGGATTACAGGCATGAGCCACCTCGCCTGGCCTAATTTTTAAATTTTTTTGTATAGATGGGGGTCTCGCTATGTGCCTAGGCAGCTCTCAAATTCCTAGGCTCAAGCCATCCCCCATCTCAGCCTCCCGGAGTGCGGGGATTACAGATGTAAACCACCATACCTGGCCTTCTGCTTTTAAAAGAAATGCAACTTTCTTGTGGGCCACGAAAGTATCAGGGGACGTAGGCTCCCATGCCAGTGGCTGAAGCCCTCAGAGCCCTGTGGCGGAGCTCCAGGGAAACGCATCTTCATGAAAAGAAGAAAGTCCTTGCTAATGAATATCGGGGCCAGTGGAGGTGTCGGAGCAGAGGCTGGATGGGTAAAGGAGGTGGGGGCTCAGGGATAGGGTGGGTTTGATGAATCTGTAAAAAGTTCCTTTCAGGCTAGGGAGTGGGCGACCAGCCTGCTGCTGTGCCCAGGCATGCAGTACAAGAGTTAGGGCTCTCAGGAGGCCAGCAGCAGACTGGACACAGCTTTGGCTCACTTGAGCAGAAAGGGGGTGTCCTGGAAGGCTCTCCAAAGCTCTAGTCTGC
Source organism: Homo sapiens (assembly GCF_000001405.40). Taxonomy (NCBI): domain Eukaryota; kingdom Metazoa; phylum Chordata; class Mammalia; order Primates; family Hominidae; genus Homo; species Homo sapiens. The sequence continues at coordinate 176,568,335 of NC_000005.10, forward strand.
ACCCAGATGCTGCAGCTGGAAAGGTTCACACCAGCCACGTCTAGTCTTGTGTCACGGAAACTCGGTATTCTGGAGAGGGCAGGGCCACAGGCTTGGCAAGGGGAGGGGTAGATGCCTGGGTACAGCCCCCGCCCCCTGCACTGTGTCCAGTGCCCATCGAGTCAGTGGGCACAAGGGAAATCAGGATGCTGCTGACTTGGCTGATGGTTGGGGAGGTCCCAGATGGCAAGTCAAGCCTGTGTACAGGGCAGCCAGGCGCCCAGCCCAGCCTCACAGCCAGCTTGGCCAGACCAGCACTGAAAGGGTGGCTGTGGACCCTGGGTGGCCCCTGTCCCATCCCCAGGTGCCCAGGCCTTCTGGTTGGTAGCGGAAGACCAGGACAATGACCCTCTGACCTATGGGATGAGCGGCCCCAATGCCTACTTCTTCGCTGTCACTCCGAAAACTGGGGAAGTGAAGCTGGCCAGCGCTCTGGACTACGAGGTAAAGAGCATCAGCCGGAGAGGGCACGGGACGCGGAGGGGGTGCTGGGAGGGCCCTGGGAGCCCGCGTCCTGGTGGCGGCACCCCCTGTGCTCCCACCCAGCGGGGGCTCACCACCGGCCCCTTCTCTCTGGCTGCTGCAGACACTCTACACATTCAAAGTCACCATCTCCGTGAGCGACCCCTACATCCAGGTGAGTTGGGAGGTGCAGGGGGGTAGACAGGGATTGCGAGAGTCCATTCCTGATTGTGTCCCCACCTCCGGCAAGCGGACGGTGCCCCAGTTAACAGTGAATTTAATGTTTATTTATATCGAGATTATACTAGTTCATTTCTTTGTCATATGACATTACCAAGATTTTAGTATTTTTAAAATTTATTTAAATTACATAAATATATTATTTATATCATATGAGGGCTTTTTTGTTTACATATAAATATATTGGTTATATTTTAATTGTAAATTAAATGTTTTTTTTTTTTTTGAGACGGAGTCTCGCTCTGTCGCCCAGGCTGGAGTGCAGTGGCGCGATCTCGGCTCACTGCAAGCTCCGCCTCCTGGGTTGACGCCATTCTCCTGCCTCAGCCTCCCGAGTAGCTGGGACTACAGGCGCCAGCCACCACGCCCGGCTAATTTTTGTATTTTTAGTAGAGACGGGGTTTCACTGTGTTAGCCAGGATGGTCTTGATCTCCTGACCTTGTGATCCGCCCGCCTCGGCTTCCCAGAGTGCTGGGATTACAGGCGTGAGCCACCACGCCCGGCCTAAATGTATTATTAATGTATATAAATATTGATTAGAAAAGTGCCAAATACCTCTCCACCCCAGGGCTCCAGAGGCAAAATCACTCTCAACTGCTTTGGCTGAATATGTTGCAACTACACTCTTATTTCCCACTTTGGGAGGCCGAGGTGGGCAGATCACCTGAGGTCAGGGGTTCAAGACCACCCTGGCCAACATGGAGAAACCCCCATCTCTACTAAAAATACAAAAATTAGCTGGGCATGGTGGTACACGCTTGTAATTCCAACTACTCAGGAGGCTGAGGCACAAGAATCGCTTGAACCCGGGAGGTGGAGGTTGTATTGAGCCGAGATTGCACCACCTCACTCCAGCCTGAGTGATAGCACGAGACTCCGTCTCAAAAAAAAAAAAATTACAGATAAAACGAAAGTCCCCTTGGAAAATCCTTTCCAGCTCACTCCCACTGAAGTGTTGACCGTTACTGTATGCTTTGACACTTCTCAGCGCTGAGGTACATGCCTCCATGTACTTCTTGGTGCATTTTTTGAAACCCAGTGGAATCCAGCTGTCTATATTGTCTTGAAAGCTGCCTTGCCCACTCAGCGATTGAGCTTAGAGCTCTCTCTGGGTCTTACAAATCCCCAATTTTTGTAACGTCTATATCTATGGTGGGAACTGCCCTTAAGCTGGTTCCCTCTGGTGTCCACATAGTTGTTCACAGCTTTATACTATGGCAAACAAAGCGAACGTGCACATTCCCGTGATAGGACAGGCACTTTTTTCCAACTTTTTATTTTATCTTTTTGAGTTAGGATCTTACTCTTGCCCAGGCTGGAGTGCAGTGGTGCAATCACAGCTCACATCAGCCTCCACCTCCTGGACTCAAGCAATCCTCTTAACTCAGCCTCCAGCGTAGCTGGGACTACAGGCGCTCACCAACCATACTCAGCTAATTTTAAAATTTTTTGTAGAGACAGAGTCTCACCATATTGCCCAGGCTGGTCTTGAACTCCTGGGCTCAAGCGATCCTCCCATCTTGGCCTCCCAAAGTACACAGGCATGAGCCACTGCGCCTGGCTGGCTGGCATATTTTATATTTAAAAAATTAACTGCTGGCGTGGTGGTGCACGCCTGTAATCCCAGCACTTTGGGACGCCAAGGCGGGCAGATCACCTGAGGTCGGGAGTTCAAGAGCAGCCTGACCAACATGGTAAAACCCCATCTTTACTAAATACCAAAAACTAACTGGGTGTGGTGGTGCATGTCTGTAATCCCAGCTACTCAGGAGGCTGAGGCAGGAGAATTGCTTGAACCTGGGAGGCGGAGGTTGCATTGAGATGAGATCACGCCATTGTACTCCAGCCTGGGTAACAAGAATGAAACTCTGTCTAAAAAAAAAAAAAAATTAACTAATGATGCCTGCAACTTACTTTCAAATGGTTCAGAAAACAACATATGGAGAGAACCTGGTCTCTACAAAAAAAAAAAAAAAAAAAAAAAAAAAAAAAGCCCCCAAAAACATATGGAGAGAAAGAGAGACCAAACAGTAGGTTGATCTGGATGAAGGACACCAGCTCTTTGTACGATACTTGCAACTTTTCTGGTGTTTTAAATCCTATTTTCTGGGGTCCCCTGGGCTTTCTCACTTGCAGGTGCAGAGGGAGATGCTGGTGATTGTGGAAGATAGAAACGACAACGCACCCGTTTTCCAGAACACCGCTTTCTCCACCAGCATCAACGAGGTGACACCTGCCTTAATGTGGTTGTGGGGCAGGGGGCATCCCAAAGTGCTTCTCAGAGTAGGAAGAGCCAGAGACAGTCAGTGGGGCATTCAGAGTTGGGAAAAACCTCTCCTAGCAGGGGCAGCTTCAAGAACCAAAGCCAGGGGGATGTAACCCCACAAACTGGTTACAGCAATATTTTGCAATCAGTCAGGTTAGGAATTCTTTCAGTGATGAAAGCAAAAAAAAAAAAGGGAGTTGATTTTTTTTGTGTAGACGGAGTCTCACTCTGTTGCCCAGGCTGGAGTGCAGTGGCACGATCTCGGCTCACTGCAAGCTCCGCCTCCTGGGTTCACACCATTCTCCTGCCTCAGCCTCCCAAGTAGCTGGGACTACAGGCGCCCGCCACCTCGCCCGCCTAATTTTTTGCATTTTTAGTAGAGACGGGGTTTCACCGTGTTAGCCAGGATGGTCTCGATTTCCTGACCTCGTGATCCGCACGCCTCGGCCTCCCAAAGTGCTGGGATTACAGGCGTGAGCCACTGCGCCCAGCCTCGTGTATCTAAAAAATTTAGAGGTACCTCAGACTTCAGGCATGGCTAGATCCAGGTACTCAAATCATATCTTGATTTGATTTGAGCCAAATCATATCGTGAAATTTGATTTGAAATCATATCTTCAGGCATGGCTGGATCCAGGTACTCAAATCACATCAAGATATGATTTGAGTTTCTCTCCTCCTCTCAGCTCTGCTTCTCTTATTGCCTCCATCCTGGGGGAAGAGAGGCAAGTCTCTCATGTGGTGATAAAAGTACAGGCTCGCCGGGTGCCGTGGCTCACTCCTGTAATACCAGCACTTTGGGAGGCTGAGGTGGGCGGATCACCTGAGGTCGGGAGTTGGAGACCAGCCTGACCAACATGGAGAAACCCCGTCTCTACTGAAAAAAAAAAAAAAAATTAGCCGAGTGTGGTGGCACATGCCTGTAATCCCAGCTACTCAGGAGGCTGAGGCAGGAGAATTGCTTGAACCTGGGAGGCAGAGGTTGCAGTGAGCCGAGATTGCACCATTGCACTCCAGCCTGGGCAACAAGAACAAAACTCCATCTCAAAAATAAATAAATAAATAAATAAATAATAAAAAAATTAAAAAATTAAAAAGTACAGGCTCACATTGAGGAGACCGTCTCTTTCTCAATCTTTCCAGCCCAAAGCCCAGGGCTGACTTTCATTGGCTCATTTTAGGTCATGTGCTATCCTTGAGCTAATTTAGGGGTATGGAAGGCTCTCATGGGTTGGGTCTGCATCGTGGGCCTTCCCCGCAGCAAGGGGGAGGAGTGGGGACAGTTCCACTTAAGCTACATGGGTGGAAAGGAGATTCCCTGATGGTCACTGGGCAGCAAATACCACCACTCCTGAACTTCCGTTGCCATGTGCCTGCAAAGACCTTCCAGGTGGGGGGCCCCATGCCAGGCCAGACACGTGTGGTCTGGACAGCCATGTGAGAGGCTCTGATGCAATGCCTCAGCACCCGGCACTGTCTAGGTGCTAAGGTTACCTGGGGAGCAAGACAGACCTGGTTGCTACTCTCAGCAGCTCACCTTCTAGGGAAGGCCACAGACAGGAACCAATGAAACAAAATAAGCAGAATGGATTTCAGATGGCGGTGAGCCCCACAATGAGCACGAGACAAGGCAAAGTCAAGGAAGTGACTGCAGCGGGCACTGCTTTAGGTTGAAGGGTCAGGAAAGGCCTCTCTGAGTTGAGGGCATCTGAACAGAGAGACCTGAATGGCAAGAAGGAGCTGGCAGGGGATGCTCCAGGAAGGGGTGCTCCAGGCAGGGGGAACAACAGGTGCAAAGCCCTGAGGCAGGAACAAGCTCAGCCAGTGTGGCTGGAGGGGGAGGGTGAGGAGGAGGTCAGGTCAGAGAGGCGAGTGGCAGCCCAGGCTCGAAGGAGTCTGGACTGTGATCTGGGCAGAATGGGGGGACTCTTGGGGGATTTGAAGGAGAAGAGTTATGTGGTCTGATTCATGATTTTCAAAGATCTCTGTGGCCACCATTAGGAAGTATAGGTCGTGGCTGGGCACGGTGGCTCACACCTATAATCCTAGCACTTTGGGAGGCTGAGGCGGGTGGATCACCTGAGGTCAGGAGTTCGACACCAGCCTGGCCAACACGGTGAAACCCTGTCTCTATTAAAAATATATATAAAAAAAATTAGCTAGGCATGGTGGTGGGCGCCTATAATCCCACCTACTGGGGAGGCTGAGGCAGGAGAATCGCTTAAACCCAGGGGGCAGAGGTTACAGTGAGCCGAGATCGTGCCCCTTCACTCCAGCCTGGGCGAAAGAGTGAAACTCCATCTCAGGAAAAAAAAAAGGAGGTAGAGTTGGTGTGTACAGGGGCCCAGGAGCAGAGTACTCCCCAAAGAAGCCTCCAGCTCTGTAGGGCGCTGTTTGAAACCCATGGCTATAGGCTGTAGAGAGCACATGGGATGTCTGAGTGCGCAGTGGCACAGTGAGGCTGGGCTCTAGAATGATCCCTCATCCTGGTTCTGAGGGGCTCCGACAATCAGAAGCCAGCTTAGGTGGTGGAGAGGCTGTGTGGGGAGGGGAGGAGGGAGATCCTCTCTGCCGCCCCGCACCCCCAGGTGCCTTCCACCCGCAGCCCTGGTGGGAAGGACAGGGGAACCCTGTCCCCATGAGTGCACAGCTGAGGACACTGAAGCTCAGGGGGGCAGTGACGGACAAGGGAGAGGAGGAGCTGGATTTGAGCTCATAGGTGACGAGTCCCTCCCTGCAGACCCTGCCCGTGGGCAGTGTGGTGTTCTCCGTGCTGGCCGTGGATAAAGACATGGGGTCTGCAGGCATGGTCGTGTACTCCATAGAGAAGGTGAGTGTGAAGGGGGCCCTGACCGCCTTTGTGACCGCCAGGGGGCAGCATCTCCACAGACAACCCACAGGGCCTGAACGTTGGGGTGGGGACATTGGTCCTGCCTTGGCCCAGCCCTGGTCCCCAAACCGTCCTCTGGCCACCAGCCCCCCTCCCCGGAAACCTCGCCTTGCCCGCTTACCTAAAGAGGGTGCCTGCTGCAGACCAGACCCTTCTTCCTGCCCGCCTGCTCCCAGGTCTTGTCCAAATTCCACAGACAATAAGGGGTGTGTAAACCCATTTCTCATGGAAACAGACTTGCTGTTGATAGCGCCATTTACCGAGCACCAACCACGTGCCTGGCACATACTGTATAGTCGCCCCTTGGTATCCGTGGGGACTTGGCTCCAGGATCCCTGAGGACACCAAAATCCATGGCTGCTCAAGTCCCTGACATGCAACGGGGTAGTATTTGCATGTAACCTAGACACATCCTCCTGTGTGCTTTAAATCACCTCTAGGTTACCTCCAATACCAATGCAATGCAAATACTATGTAACTATAGCATGTTATGCTATATTGTTTAGGGAATCATGGCAAGGGAAAAAGTTTGTACACCTTCAGTACAGACGCAACCATTGTGAGTGAGCCTAGCTACAGTTTTGATCTGTGCTGGTCAAATCTGTGGATGTGGAAGCCACAGAGATGGAGGGCCGACTGCATCTTATTGGATCCTCCTTTCAACCCACTGAGGGTTGTCACCAGCCCCATTTCCTGGAGCTGGAAACTGAGGCTCAGAGAGGTCATATGACCTGGTGCCAGTGGCGTGACTGGTCAGTGGCAGAGCTGGGACCTTCCCTGCGTTGCTCAGAGTGGGGTCCTCGGTGCAGGGCTGTCCCTAGGGAGCCTGACCCAAGTCTGCTCTGCCCCAGGTCATCCCTAGCACTGGGGACAGCGAGCATCTCTTCCGGATCCTGGCCAATGGCTCCATAGTCCTCAATGGCAGCCTCAGCTACAACAACAAGAGCGCTTTCTACCAGCTGGAGCTGAAGGCCTGTGTGAGTGGGGGTGCCGGCAGGCGGGCCTAGGACCCACGGCGCTGGCTCACGGGTGGCCATCTCCCCGCAGGACTTGGGCGGCATGTACCACAACACCTTCACCATCCAGTGCTCCCTGCCTGTCTTCCTGTCCATCTCCGTGGTGGACCAGCCTGACCTTGACCCCCAGTTTGTCAGGGAGTTTTACTCGGCCTCTGTGGCTGAGGATGCAGCCAAGGTGCACGGGGGACCTGTGGGGTGTGGGTGGAGGCGGGAGGCGGGGAAGTTTGAGGAGCACTGACCAGGCCCCATTCCAGGGAACCTCGGTGCTGACGGTGGAGGCTGTGGATGGCGACAAAGGCATCAATGACCCTGTGATCTACAGCATCTCCTGTGAGAACGGGGTGTCCCCAGGCCAGGGCTGGGCCGGGGCCAGGGTGGGGTCTCCGTCAGAGTCCCTGGAGGCAATGGGCCTGGGGCTCCGTCAGAGCCACTGGAGCAGCTGTTCCAGCTGTTCCGCCTTTCTCCTTGCCAGACTCCACGCGGCCCGGCTGGTTTGACATCGGGGCAGATGGGGTGATCAGGGTCAACGGCTCCCTGGACCGTGAGCAGCTGCTGGAGGCGGATGAGGAGGTGCAGCTGCAGGTCACGGTGAGCAAAGGCCCCACCACCCCTGTCAGAACCCTGCTCTCTAACCTCTGGCCTTTGATCTCTCTCTCTGAGCACTGGCTCTCTGCCCTCTGCCCTCTGCTCTGTGCCTCAGGCCACCGAGACACACCTCAACATCTACGGGCAGGAGGCCAAGGTGAGCATCTGGGTGACAGTGAGAGTGATGGACGTCAATGACCACAAACCTGAGTTTTACAACTGCAGCCTCCCAGCCTGCACCTTCACCCCCGAAGAGGCCCAAGTGAACTTCACTGGCTACGTGGACGAGCATGCCTCCCCCCGCATCCCCATCGATGACCTCACCATGGTGGTCTACGACCCGGACAAGGCAGGCGTGGTGGCGTGGGTGTGGGCGGGGGTGGCTGGGGGAGGCCAGTGGGAGCCTGGATCGAGTGACGGTGTCATGTGGTGCTGGGTGGCGGTGCTGGTGGTGCAGGGTGTGATGGCGGAGAATGGGGGTGCTGGGTGCTCTCTGGAAGCCTGTGTTGGTAAGCAGTATCATCCTCTGGGCGATCCGTGTGGGGCTGAATAGAAGGCCATGCTGAGTGGAGGCTGACGTAGAACGTCAGATGATGCTGAGTAGAACATCATTGTCCGTGGTGATGGGTGGCTGGCGAGGTCTCCTGGCATTGGGCGGCCATGATTTGGGTAGTCCTGGGAACTGGGGGAGGCTGAGCAGTGTTGGGACAAGTGGTCTGAGGGTGTGAGGTGGGAGGGTGCTCTTTTTTTTTTTTTTTGAGATGGAATTTCGCTCTGTCACCCAGGCTGGAGTGCAATGGCCCAATCTTGGCCCACTGCAACCTCTGCCTCCCAGGTGGAAGGGATTCTCCTGCCTCAGCCTCCCAAGTAGCTGTGATTACAGGTGTGCACCACCTCGCCCAGCTAATTTTTGTGTTTTTAGTAGAGATGGAGTTTCACCATGTTGGCCAGGTTGGTCTTGAACTCCTGACCTCAAGTGATCCACCTACCTTGGCCTCCCAAAGTGCTGGGATTGCAGGCGTGAGCCACCGCGCCCAGCCATGGGAGGCACTCTTAAGTGGAGGCTGCAGTGAGAGGTGGGTAACACGGTGGCGCTGGAGGATGAGTAACTCTGGAGGGTGTATGGTGTTAGGTGATACTGAGGGGTTGGAAATGTTGCGTGGAGGACAGTGTCGGGTGGGGTTAGGTTGGCCAGAAGGGTGGCACTGGCCAGTGGGGTGACGTAGGGTGTGAGTGGTGTTTGGTGTTGCTGTGGGGGCTGGGGGTGGGGGATGTGAAGGGTGGGTGGGAGGGACAGCTGACAGGAGTGAGGGGTGTGTGTCCAGGCTCCAGCCCAGGTCTGGGACCCACAGTGCCTAGGGAGCTGTCTTCTACAGAGCCTGCATTTGCAGGGACTGGTGACCAGCCCAGCCTCCTGCACCCTCTCTCGCAGTCTTTTGAGAGCCCCCTTCCATGGGACCTCATCGGGCGGGGCATCCAGAGATAGAAGCCTGGGGACTGGGGGAAGATGCAGGTGGGCAGAGCAGGGGGACAGGTCCCTGCTAGACAGCCCACCTTTACAGGGCAGCAATGGCACCTTCCTGTTGTCGCTGGGGGGCCCCGATGCAGAAGCCTTCAGCGTCTCCCCGGAGCGGGCAGTGGGCTCAGCCTCCGTTCAGGTGCTGGTGAGAGTATCCGCGCTGGTGGACTACGAGAGGCAGACGGCGATGGCGGTGCAGGTGAGGGCTGCTCCGGGGTGCCAGGGGCAGAAGCCGAGGGGCACTTGGGCCCCACAGCTGCTGCCTCCTCCCCTGCCCCCAGGTTGTGGCCACAGACTCCGTCAGCCAGAACTTCTCCGTCGCCATGGTGACCATCCACCTTAGAGACATTAATGACCACAGGCCCACGTTTCCCCAGAGCTTGTACGTCCTCACGGTGCCAGAGCACAGCGCCACCGGCTCTGTGGTCACCGACAGCATCCACGTGAGTGATGTGGACACAGTGGGGCTGTGGGGTCCCAGCAAGCGGGCGTGCATGTGTGAGTGTGAGAGTGTGTGTGTGTGTATGTGTGAGATGGGGGTGGCCATGAGTGAATCTGAGTGTGCTGGGGATTCTCCCTTTGTGTGAGGAAGCACGACAGCTCTGTCCCCACGAGCTGCATGGGTGGCGGTGCGTGCATCGCCTCCACACAGCACCCTGCCATGTCTCTGCCTCACAGGCCACGGACCCAGACACGGGCGCGTGGGGCCAAATTACCTACAGCCTGCTCCCAGGAAATGGGTAAGGGCTCAGGGTGGGCCGTAGGCAGGTGGGTGAGCAGGGCCCAGGCCCACCTCTCTGCCTCTCTGCAGAGATAGAATAGCTGGGGAAGACCGAAGGCACTCAGTTACATTTCAATTTCAGATAAACAAGGAATGACTTTTTGAAATAATGAATATGTTGCATATACTGCATGGGATATGCTGAAATATTTGTTGTTGTATATCTGAAATTCACACTGAAATGGGCATCCTGTGTCTCTATTTGCTGAACCTGGCCCCTCTGAGCAGGGCAGACCTCTTCCAAGTGGATCCCGTCTCAGGGACGGTGACGGTGAGGAACGGTGAGCTGCTGGACCGGGAGAGCCAGGCCGTGTACTACCTGACGCTGCAGGCCACAGACGGCGGGAACCTGTCCTCCTCCACCACACTGCAGATCCACCTGCTGGACATCAACGACAATGCACCCGTGGTTAGCGGCTCCTACAACATCTTCGTCCAGGAGGAGGAGGGCAATGTCTCCGTGACCATCCAGGTGTGAGCCTGCCTGGACCTGGTGGGTAAGGCTGGGGGAGGGGACCAAGCCTGCTCTGTGGGCATGCTGGCCCTGGGTAAAGTCGGGGCTCCGCTGTGTGGCTCTGAGACAGTCACTCAGAGTCTCTGTTTCCTCCCAGGAAATGAAGAAAATTATAGCCTTACTCTCAGGGTCATTGGGGAATAATTTAATGACTTGTGTGAGGAGCTCAGCACTGGGCCTGCCAGAGAAATCCCTCAAAAACATACACTTCTTTTTTATTTACCCACCTGCCCCACTCCAAAAAGGACTTGAGGTGGCTTAGATAAATAGTAAGATAAAAATATGAAAGAAATAAGAAAAAAGAGAAAATAAAGGTGGCATTTGTTAAAGGGCACAAGGTAAAATTAGAACCCAGTGCTACAGAATTGCTTGGAGTGAGCTGCAAATTCTGATCTGAGCTTCATGGTGGCCAAAGCAAAAAAGGAAATGAGATCAGTGGCCAGGTTCACAGAGTTCATGAGATAAAAACCCACTAGTGACTCCAGAGAAACACCGGGGAGTAGCTTCCTCCCTCGTCCTGAGGAGTTCGGAAGCTTCGCCCCTGAGGCATCTTGTGAGAAGTGAGAAACCAGGTCCTCAGAGTGACAATCTGGTGGCCACAGAGCCCTCCCGTCTTTCCAGGACTGTGTAGTTTCCAGAGCATGTTCCTATCCCTGATCTCTTGACCAGCTTTGGAAGCAGGCGGTCTAATAGTTCCCATTTCTCAGGAGACAACAGGCTCAGAAAGGTTAAGTGATTTTCTGTGGTTACACAGCCAGTAAATGATGGCGCTGGGGCTGCAGCCCAGACCTCTCTGGCCCTGAAGCCTTGGCCTTTCCTCCTTCCTGCTTGGCACTTCTCCCCTGGTCTGTGAGCTCCTTGGGGCAGGAGCATTTCTGGTCGGCTGCTGTAACCGTGGTGCCCAGCATGAGCCCCAGGGAGCACTTGATGAATTAACTGGCCTGAGTTCAGGGCACCAAAGGATGAGCAGACAGGATGAGGCTTTTGGAAAAAATAAACATCTCCAGCTGCTTTCAAAGGATGCATGTAATAAACAAGGTCCCAGCAGAATGAAATGGAGGAGCTGAAGGTGGAGACTGGCTGGGAGGAAGGAAAGAATTGGTTGAGTCGGAGTGGTCCCACTCTGGATTCAAGGCCACGTTTGCTGAGCACTTACCCAGTCTTTGGCTGGGCCCTGAGTCCTCAGAGATGAGTCCACCACCATTCCTGCCCCCCAGGCGGCTCCCAGTTAGGAAGAGGGCGTCAGACAGTCACCCAGCGGTGTCACCTGTGCTATGTTGAGGCCCAGAGGAAGCGCCAACCTGGCCTGGAGTCAGGCAGGGAAGGTGTGGGAGGCATCGGGGTGAGGGAACGGAACCTGCAAAGGCCTGGCGGCACAGAGGAACCCGCTGTGTTATCCACACTGGTTCACCCCAAAGACAAACCAAGCATGCCTTCAGGGCCCTGGCAGGACAGGAACACACACACACACTCACGCACGCACTCACACACGCACTCACACACACACTCACACACGCACTCACACACACTCACACACGCACTCACAGACATACAAAGTGAGTGAAGAATCAGCTATTTAAAACATATAGCGCTGACGGCCGGGCATGGTGGCTCCTGCCTGTAATCTCAGCACTTTGGGAGGCCGAGGTGGGTGGATCACTTGAGATCAGGAGTTCGAAACCAGCCTGGCCAACATAGTGAAACCCCATCTCTACTAAAATTACAAAAATTAGCTGGGTGTGGTGGTGCATGCCTGTAATCCCAGCTACTTGGGAGGCTGAGGCAGGAGAATCACTTGAATCCAGGAATTGGAAGCTGCAGTGAGCTGAGATCATGGCACTGCACTCCACTCTGGGCAACAGAGTGAGACTCCACCTCAAAAAAAAAAAAAAAGAAAGAAAGAAAGAAAAAAAAGAAAACAAAACAAAACAAAAGAAGGGCCAGACGTGGTGGCTCACGCCTGTATGTAATCCCAGCACTTTGGGAAGCTGAGGCAGGTGGATCACCTGAGGTTAGGAGTTCAAGACCAGCCTGGCCAACATGGTGAAACCCCATCTCTACTAAAAAATACAAAAAATTAGCCTGGTGTGGTGGTGGGTGCCTGTAATCCCAGCTACTTAGGAGGCTGAGGCAGGAGAATCACTTGAACCCAGGAGAAGGAGTTTGCAGTGAGCAAGAGAGATCGCACCATTGCACTCCAGCCTGGGCAACAAGAGCGAAACTGTATGAAAGAAAAAAGAAAAAAGAAAAAATATGTATATAGCACTGAAGTAGTCATTATGGGAAAATGAGAATCTTGCTGGACTTCACACTTATGAGTTTAAAACTTTCTTTGTCTACAATTTCCTGCCCCCATATCCCCCTTCCTGCTAGAATATCAGTAGCAAAAGGGCCTGTCTTGATGATGGCTCTATTCTTTCTTTGCACCTGGAACGGGGCTGGGCACGTAGGTCCACAGTGGCCGTTTGTGAGATGAAAGAATGGCCTCAGTGCTGAAGATCTCAGAAGCTCTTGCAAACTGCTGACCTGAGCCTCTTAGATGGGAAACTGGGGCTGGGAGATGGGCCCAGGGGCTCCAGGCCTGATGACTGCCTGCGTGGGCCAGCGCTGGAGAGGAGGGTCCGGCTGCATCGGAGGGGCTGGGGGCTGGGAATGCCGATGGCCGATGACCAACCCCTGCTTACGTGCACAGGCCCACGACAATGATGAGCCGGGCACCAACAACAGCCGTCTGCTCTTCAACCTGCTGCCTGGCCCCTACAGCCACAACTTCTCCTTGGACCCTGACACAGGGCTCCTCAGAAACCTGGGGCCCCTGGACAGAGAGGCCATCGACCCCGCCCTGGAGGGCCGCATTGTGCTGACAGTGCTTGTGTCTGACTGCGGCGAGCCTGTCCTCGGCACCAAAGTCAATGTCACCATCACTGTGGAGGTAAGGCCTCGCTTAGCCAGGATGGGCCTGGGGGCCTCCCAAGCCGATAGCCAGCCCCTCCAGCTTGAGTCACACTTCTGCCCTCTGCAGCCAGCCTGCCTGGGTTACAATCCCGCTCACTCGTATGGCCCCAGGCAATTACTCAACCTCCCTAGGCACTCAGGCTCCTCATCTATAAAACGGGGGTGAAAAAGGTTAAAGATTAAGTGAGTTAATGAATGGAAAGTGCTTGGTAGAGTGCCTGACCTATAGACAGTATCAGTGAATATCAGCTCTAATTGTCACTCATAAAGTCCCACCTGAAACCCTCCTGTCTCCCTGCCACCATTGAAAAGCAAAGGGAAGGGGTGAAAATCAGCATTGCTGGTGTCTATTGCACATCAGGGCATCCGCCAAGGTTGGGATGGTTATTACCATTTTGTTTTTATTTATTTATCTATTGATTTATTTATTTTTGAGACAGGGTCTCCCTTTGTCACCCAGGCTGCAGTGCAATAGTGCCATCATGGCTCACTGCAGACTCAACCTCCCAGGCTCAAGCGATCCTCCTGCCTCAGCCTCCTGAGTAGTTGGGACTATAGGCATATGCCACCATGCCTGGTTAATTTTTTTATTTTTGTAGAGATGGGGTTTTTCCATGTTGCCCAGGCTGGTCTTGAACTCCCGAGCTCAAGCGATCCACCCGCCTTGGCCTCCTAAGTAGCTAAGACTAAAGATGCGTGCCACCATGCCTGGCTAATTTGGCTAATTTTTAAAATTTATTTTTCATAGAATCAGAGTCTCACTTATTGTCCAGGCCAATTTTGAACTGTTGGCCTCAAGCGACCCTCTCAACTCAGCCTCACAAAATGCTGGGATTACAGGCATAAGTCACTGAGCCCGGTTTATTACCGTTTTATTGATTGAGCAACTGAGGCGGGCCTAGTTGCTGTGGCTCATGCCAAAAACCTCAGTACTTTGGGAGGCCAAGGTGAGAGGATTGCTTGAGCCCAGGAGTTTGAGACTGGGCTGGGCAACATAGCGAGACCCCATCTCTACTAAAATAAAAAATTAGCCAGGCATGGTGGCATGTACCTGAAGTCCCAGCTACTTGGAAGGCTGAGGCAGGTGGATCATTTCAGCCCAGGAGGTTGAGGCTGCGGTGAGCTATGATCATGCCACTGCAATCCAGCCTGTGAGACAGAGCAAGACCCTGTCTCAAAAAAAGAAACTGAGGCACAGAGAGGTTCAGTACCTTGCCTGGGGGTCACAAAATTGGGTTTTGACTTCAATCAGTCTGGTTCTAAGGCTGCCACCAGCCCACAAGGCACCTTCCTCTGGAACAGTATTGTGACAAATGTGCACCTCTGCCGTGTCTGTGATGTGGATGGCACCCCATAGGGTTGTGCAGTGCACAGCCTGCACCACTGCACATAGCAGCCCTGTGTCCCCTGGACTGGGATGTGCCATTTTCACACAAGGGTCAGAGAGTGAGACCTCAGAAATGAAGAAAACGAAGCAGAATGAGGACTTGCTGGTTGTCCTTAGGGTGGGAGGGCTGCAAAGAGAGAACTTCATTTCCTGAGTGAACAGGTTTCTTCACCCCTGTGAGCCGTCCTCACAATTGCCCTATTAGTGGGGACTACTACCCCATTTTGCAGATGAGGACACTGAGGTCCAGAGAGGTCAAGGTCACACATGAGGCAGAGGTGGAGCAAGATGTGACTCAGTGCTCTTATCCACTCCTGTGAGTTAGGGTGACCTTGAGAATGCAGCTGGTCTTGTGCGTGGAGCCAATGATGTCATCGCTGGGAAATTAGCAGCAGAAAAGACATCTAGCTAAGGTGCAAGAATGTTGTCTTCCAAATGTTCATTCTAGGGTTATTCAGAAAAACAAACACCTGTTATGTGACCCACAAACCTGGGAAGGGCTGGAGTGCTCAGGGCATCCCCCAAGCACATGCCAGTGTTAGGAGACATAGGGGAGGGCAGAGTCACCTCCAGGCTGTGACAATAGTTGCAGGGCTCCAGCTGTGCCCAGTGGGCTAGGGCTGGCCACAGAGGTGAGAGCCAAAAACAGCTGGTGTCTGAGGCAGGAGCAGGTCTAAGCTTCTGCAGGTCCCCGGAGCCCAGCTCTGACTGAGCACAGAGCTGGTGTTGTGGGCTCAGTTGTGTGCAGGAGGGACAGGGGTAGGAGGGGACAAGGGAAAGTGTGGGCCTTGGAGCCTTTGTGGACATATAATGGTATTGGTGCCAACACAATAAATCCGAGAGATGGGAGTCAAGCTGGGCCAGGCAGGGTCGCAGGTGGGGACCCAGAACTGTGCTTCTAGAAAGCAGGGTCTAGAACAAGTCCTGAGCTGTGGTCAGAGAAACAGGAAGCAAGCAGGGCTTCCTGAGGATGGATGTGTAAGGCCAAGGTCCCACTGTAGGTCCCTGAACCCCGGGTGTGTGACCTGGGCAAGTTCCCTCCTCTCAGAGCCTGTCTCCTCATCTGGGAAGTGGGCAGTGAGGTCTGAGGCACTAGTAGAGTCCATGCCTTGGAGCACAGGGATTATTGGTTTCTCGGATTGGCTCTGGGGAGGGTGAGATTGGATCCCGGGGACTCAGACCTGTCTCTGACTGCAGGACATCAATGATAACCTGCCCATCTTCAATCAGTCCAGCTACAACTTTACGGTGAAGGAGGAGGATCCAGGTATGTGCTCCCTGGGCCAGGAGAGACACTGCGGCTGGGACCCAGTGTGGCTTTGTCAGGGTGGACCTCGAGTTCCAAGAGAGGCAAGGGCAGAGGAGGCTTCCGATGGCGGGGTCAGGAGTCCTTCTGAGCTCTGCCCCTTGTCCACAGGAGTGCTAGTGGGCGTGGTGAAGGCCTGGGACGCGGACCAGACGGAAGCCAACAACCGCATCAGCTTCAGCCTGTCGGGGAGTGGTGCCAACTACTTCATGATCCGAGGCTTGGTGCTGGGGGCTGGGTGGGCTGAGGGCTACCTCCGGCTGCCCCCGGACGTGAGCCTGGATTACGAGACACAGCCCGTCTTCAACTTGACAGTGAGTGCTGAGAACCCAGACCCCCAGGGGGGTGAGACCATAGTAGACGTCTGCGTGAATGTGAAAGACGTGAACGACAATCCCCCCACCCTGGATGTAGCCTCACTCCGGGGCATCCGTGTGGCTGAGAATGGCTCACAGCACGGCCAGGTGGCTGTGGTGGTTGCCTCGGATGTGGACACCAGTGCCCAGCTGGAGATACAGCTTGTGAACATTCTCTGCACCAAGGCCGGGGTCGATGTGGGCAGCCTATGCTGGGGCTGGTTCTCAGTGGCGGCCAACGGCTCTGTGTACATCAACCAGAGCAAAGCCATCGACTACGAGGCCTGTGACCTGGTCACGCTGGTTGTGCGGGCCTGTGACCTAGCCACGGACCCCGGCTTCCAGGCCTACAGCAACAATGGTAAGGCAGCCTGTCCTTGCAGGGCTTGGCAGGCCATAGCTTAGGGGCCGCGGGAAGGAGCCCTGGGCTGGAACTCACAAGGTCTGGGCTCAGATCTTGGCTCCAGCCCTTTCCAGCTGCAAATACTGGGAAAGTCCCAAACCCTCTCCAAGCTTCAGTTTCCCCATCTGTCCAGTGGAGTTGGGCAGTGGGGTGGGCTGTGAAGATTCAATGAGAATATGGATGTATGGCATTTATTGCAGTGCCTGGCATGCAGTAGCATCAAATTAATGCCATTATTTTACAAGATGCTGTGAAAGAAAGATAACACTGCAGAGCTAGATGTGTGCTTGTATCCCACTTCTGACACCAAATAGCAATAATAATCACATTAACAACTAGCATATATTGAGTCCTTATGACAGCCAAGAACTACACCAGGCACCTTGTAAGAATTTTTCCACTTCCACACAACCCATGGGGTAGGTGTTCCCTATCCAATTTTATAGATGAGGAAACTGAGGCAGAAAGTGGGTATTTAAACAACCAGCTTATATAGTTAGAATGTGTCAGTATAATGTCATAGGTGAGATCTACCTAGGCTGGGCCCAATCCTGGCCCACCACTATTGCTGTGTGACTTTGACAAGCTGCTTATCTGCTCTGAGGTCTGGGATGATACTCCCACCCACACAGGCCAGAGAAGACCGATCAGGCATTCTGGGTCAGGAGCAGGGAAGGGGACTGAGCATGGGGGAACACATGGGAGAGAAGCTGCGGGGCATGGGGTTGAGGCTGCGGGGCACGGGGTTGAGGCTGCGGGGCACAGGGTTGAGGCTGCGGGGCACGGGGTTGAGGCTGCGGGGCATGGGGTTGAGGCTGTGGGGCACAGGGTTGAGGCCCAGGCTCTTTGGGTCAAGCTTTTGCCCAGAGCCAAAGCCAGCTGACCTTGTCTCCTAGGAAGCCTCCTCATTACCATTGAGGACGTGAATGACAATGCACCCTATTTTCTGCCTGAGAATAAGACTTTTGGTAAGCAGCAACCCCATTCACACACCATACCCCTGCTCCATAAGGCCGCCTTTGAGCAACCCCGACAGACCCTCCTTGGACCCCAGGGGGAGCCTTTAGAAAGGGGGGAAGGCCTCTAATCCTGCATCTTCCTAGGGCTGCAATAGGAGAGGACATTGGAGTTTTCTTTTTTCTTTCCTTTTTTTCTTGAGACGGAGTCTTGCTCTGTCGCCCAGGCTGGAGCGCAATGGTACGATCTCAGCTCACTGCAACCTCCGCCTCCCAGGTTCAAGCAATTCTCATGCCTTAGCCTCCAGAGTAGCTGGGGCTACAGGCATGCGCCACCACACCTGGCTAATTTTTGTATTTTTAGTAGAGACAGGGTTTCATTGTGTTGGCCAGACTGGTCTTGAACTCCTGGCCTCAAGTGATCTGCTCGCCTTGGCCTCCCAAAGTGCTGGGATTATAGGCATGAGCCACCATGCCCAGCCAACACTGGAGTTTTCATTCCAGCTCTGTCCGACCTAATGTCTGGCCCTGGGCCAGGACTTCCCTCTCTGGGCCTCCATTTCCGCATGGTCCTGTGGGCCTGTGACCTCACCTGTGACAATGGGAGGTGGATGACTTGCTAACTACTGGCCCAGTGGTGGCTGTAATAGGGGTCTCTTTTGGTAGAGAGGTTGAGGGCAGGTTTAGGGGGATGAGCCCTGAGCTGGGCTCGTGACCAGCCTTGGTCCAGGTGGGCAGTGTCCCGACCCCGCTGACCCCGTTCCCGTTCACACCTGCAGTGATCATCCCTGAACTCGTGCTGCCCAACCGGGAGGTGGCTTCTGTCCGGGTAAGTTCTTGGCTCCAGCCTTTGTTGGTCATATGAGCCCCAGGGGACACAGGGCTGAGGCCTTCAGGCCTTCCATGGTAGAAAGAAAATATATGGGCTCCAACACATGAAAAAGAAAACCCCAGAAGGGAAACCAACACCTGTCTAATCAATGTAATCAAACTTCACTGTGATAAATGTAGCATTCATAAAAATGTCATGACCGTAAATACCACTTGCAGTCCAGATATTTCTTACTATACCAGAATTCTTGAGTAATACAGAGAACTCATAGCTAATTGTAAATTAAGCCAGTGCCTTGTCATTAAATAATTCTCAGAGCCAGCTGGGCACGGTGGCTCAAGCCTGTAATCCCAGCACTTTGGGAGGCCAAGGCAGGTGGATCACCTGAGGTCGGGAGTCTGCGACCAGCCTGACCAACATGCAGAAACCCCATCTCTACTAAAAAATACAAAATTAGCTGGGTGTGGTGGTGCATGCCTGTAATCCCAGCTACTTGGGAGGCTGAGGCAGGAGAGTCACTTGAACTCGAGAGGCGGAGGTTGCGGTGAGTCGAGATCACGCCATTGCACTCCAGCCTGGGCGACAAGAGTGAAACTCTGCCTCAAAAAAAAATAAATAAATAAATAAATTATTGGAGCCAAGTCATAAAAAGGCTTTCAGCTGTTTATGGTGTTGGATGTGGCAAGTTTATTAGGGGTGGTGGCCATGCCGTGTGGGGATGAGGCTTCCCACACCACCGAGGGCTGGGCCTGGCTGGGCTTCTTACTGACCTGGAGAGCTGCCTACCCTCTCTGGGACTCCGTTTCCCTGTTCAACAAGAAGCTAGCAGTTCCCAGAAGGTGGCATGTGGGTGCCATTCCCTATGCTTTGGAAAGGACATGGGTACAAGAGATGGACAGGGCTGGCCTTCCCCACTTAGAGCCGAGTGTAAGGACAGGGTCTCTCGGAGCCTCAGCTTCCTCTTGTAAAATGGGGATAGTAATTCTCCCTCTCTAGGTTGACGTTCATGCTAGAGACAGTGACTGTGTGACTTTCAAGTCTTAAGACAGCTTCCCAATCTTCTGCCAATTTGGTTCTAATGTCAAGAGTTTAGCCACGGCAATTTTCTTTAAATAGATTCCTTTTTAAGACCTAAGCACTGGTGTTGGCCTATCCTTAACAGTAACGTTGGTGAACTCGAAGCTCTGTGTGCTGGTTAAATTTTTCTCTAAAAGGCACTAGAATGAATAAAAATGCTTGTGTCCCCTCCCCAACCAGCTTCATGGTCTACTAGGGGAATTGGTACTCCCCGCACGGAAATGAGGGATCCCAGGGGAGGTGCTTAGGAAATCTGAGCATCGCTGTGTGTGTGCACGCCAGTGTGTGTGTGTCTAAGTGTGAATGTGTGTGCCTGAGGGTGTGTATAAGGGTGAGTGAGTGTATGTGAATGTGTGTGACAGTGTGTGGGTATGTAGGTGATTGTGGGTGTGTATGTGTGTGACTGTGCAAGTGTGTGAATGTGTGTGAATTGAGTGTATTTGTGTGAGTGTGTGTGAATTGAGTGTGTGGTGAGTGCATGAGAGAGTGAGGGTGTGAGTGTGTGTGTCAGGATAAGTGTGTGAGTGTGAGAGGGTGTGTGAGTGTATGTGAGTGTGAGAGGATAAGTGTGTGAGGGTGTGTATGAGTGTGTGCATGTGTGTGAGTGTGTTAGGGTGAGTGAGTGTATGTGTGAGTGGGACAGTGTGTGAGAGTGTGTGTGAGGGTGTGTATGAGTGTGTGTGCATATGTGTGTAAGTGTGTGTTAGGGTGAGACTGAGTGTGAGTGGGACAGTGTGTGAGAGTGTGTGTGTGTGAGAGGGTGTGTATGTGAGAGAGACTGTGTGTGTGAGTGTGTGTGTGTGAGAGAGAGAGAGAGTATGGCAGTGGAGGGGTGTAGGGGGAGCAGGGCAGGATTTCCACATGTGAGGGACTTAGGGCAGTGATCTGTTTGGAGTTGGGGAACAGGGGCAGGTTCTTGTCCAAATCTGGATTTGCAGAGCAGACACACTGTTTTTTGAAACCATTTGCTTATTCGGGGCAGCGTGGGGATGGCGGATAGAGACGGTGAGGGCCAGCCTCCCAGGCCACCCTTGCCTCTGATCCCTGCTGGGGTGGAGGGATGCCTGGCCTGGCTGGGCCCCCAGATATTGTCCACTCTTGCTCCCAGGCCAGAGACGATGATTCAGGGAACAATGGCGTCATCCTGTTCTCCATCCTCCGAGTAGACTTCATCTCTAAGGACGGGGCCACCATCCCTTTCCAGGGTGTCTTCTCGATCTTCACCTCCTCCGAGGCCGACGTGTTCGCTGGGAGCATTCAGTAACTGCGGGCGGCCCCGGGAGGGAGGTTGCGGGGAGGGGCCCGATAGGAGCTTTCAGGCAGCAAGTCCCCCATCCTGGAGGTTACAAGGGTCCTGAGGATTCAGCTTGGGTTCCAAGACTGACCTGCGCCTCCCGCCTTCCGCAGGCCGGTGACCAGCCTCGACTCCACTCTCCAAGGCACCTACCAAGTGACAGTCCAGGCCAGGGACAGACCTTCCTTGGGTCCTTTCCTGGAAGCCACCACCACCCTGAATGTGAGTGCTGGTCCCACCTCCAGCCCCCAACGCCCTCTGCCAGCCCCCAGGGTCCCTGGTGCCTCATCTCCTGCACACCCCCTTCCCAGCTCTTCACCGTGGACCAGAGTTACCGCTCGCGGCTGCAGTTCTCCACACCGAAGGAGGAGGTGGGCGCCAACAGACAGGCGATTAATGCGTAGGTCTGGGGAGCCCCGGAGGGAGGGGTAGGAAGAACAGGGTGTAGGAGCCTGGTCCCCGACAAAACCTGGATGGGATGTCTCTCAATCCTGTTCCTGACCCACATTTGACCTTGTCCCTGTCTTCAACCCTGTACTTTCACCTGCACGACGTTCTTGCATGTCCCCAGAAGCCCATACCCAGCCAAGGGCAGAGGGAAGCCTTGGAACAAGGCTGCCGTGTACAGTTGTGAAGGCTGTGTGTTGCACAAGGGCACTCTGCTTGCTAAGCTATTCACCCAGCCCCAGAGGAAGGGATTTCCTTTTGTAATTTTCACAGAGATGCTACCTACTCAGCCAACAGAGCTGTCCAGAGGAGGTGCCCTTTCTCACTCATACAATTCTTAATCCCACTGGCACAGCCCTGGCCACAGGCCCAGGCTAAGACCCCAGGCCTCTGTGACATCTGCCTTCTTTGCAGGGCTCTTACCCAGGCAACCAGGACTACAGTATACATTGTGGACATTCAGGACATAGATTCTGCAGCTCGGTGAGTGCCCAGAGGCCTGGGGGTGGGGTTGAGGGGGAGAAGCGGTAGCAGGAGGGGCCTGCTGGGTGATCCAGGCTCCTGACTCTTCAACTCTGTCCCGCTCCAGGGCCCGACCTCACTCCTACCTCGATGCCTACTTTGTCTTCCCCAATGGGTCAGCCCTGACCCTTGATGAGCTGAGTGTGTGAGTGGGGCTGCCCTTGGGGCAGGTGTGAGGGTGAGCAGGAAGCCTGGGGTGTGCCAAGGTCCCTCGGGCCTAAGTGGAGTTCTGTGGCCAGGATGATCCGGAATGATCAGGACTCGCTGACGCAGCTGCTGCAGCTGGGGCTGGTGGTGCTGGTGAGTGCGGGCAGGGCGGGGCAGCAGGTGGGGCTGCTGAAGACGAGTGTGCTTCCCTCACACTCATCTTTCTCCAGGGCTCCCAGGAGAGCCAGGAGTCAGACCTGTCGAAACAGCTCATCAGTGTCATCATAGGATTGGGAGTGGCTTTGCTGCTGGTCCTTGTGATCATGACCATGGCCTTCGTGTGTGTGCGGAAGAGGTGCGGCTCCCATTGCCCCCGTGTCTCCAACCTTCACCCTCTCCCACCACCCAAGACGTCGGGGGGTAGGGGTAGAAGGAGCTGGGGCTTAGGCACAGGTATACATGCATTCACTCCCCAGTGACCCAGTGCGAGATCTTGGGTGAGTCACCTCCCCTCCACGGGCCTCAGTTTCCTTATCTGTGAAAGGGCATGAGACTTGATTCCTCAGTGCACTCAAGGAAGTAACATGCATCTCACACCCAGCTAGACGTCTGGCACACACTATGCGTTTAATAGATGCTGCTGCTTTTTCCAACATGTATAGAGTCAGCAGCCGTATCTGGGCTTGACTTCAAGCCTTGTCACTGGCTATTTGACCTTTGGCAAATCACTTGCCTTCTCTGGCTCTTACTTCTACCCTCTGTAAAATAGAGCTAACACTCACCTCCCGGGATCTTGTGAAGCCACAGGCTCAGGGCCTCCACTGGGGACACAACAGGTGTGCAGCAACAGTGTGACCCCTCTTCCGGTTCCCCACAGCTACAACCGGAAGCTTCAAGCTATGAAGGCTGCCAAGGAGGCCAGGAAGACAGCAGCAGGGGTGATGCCCTCAGCCCCTGCCATCCCAGGGACTAACATGTACAACACTGAGCGGTGAGCAGGGGTCAAAGGGTAGGTAAGAGGCCTGGTGGGGTGGCTGAGGGCCAGGCAACTTGACCAGGCTTTCTCTCCAGAGCCAACCCCATGCTGAACCTCCCCAACAAAGACCTGGGCTTGGAGTACCTCTCTCCCTCCAATGACCTGGACTCTGTCAGGTGAGCAGTGCCCCTCACAGCCAGGCTAGGTGGTGGTGGTGGTACAGGTAGTGACGGTGGTGGTGGTGATGGTGTTGGTGGTGATGATGGTGATGACAATGGTGATGGTGTGGTCATGGTAGTAGTGGTAGTTATGGTGGTGGTGGTGATGGTAGTGAGGTGATGGTGATGGTAGCAATGGTGACAGTGGTGATGATGACAACAATGATGGTGGTGATGATGGTGTTGGTGTTGAGGTGATGGTGATGGTTGTGATGGTGATGGTGGTGATGATGGTGATGATGACGATGGTGGTGGTGGTGGTGGTGTTGGTGTTGAGGTGATGGTGATGGTTGTGATGGTGATGGTGGTGATGATGGTGTTGGTGTTGAGGTGATGGTGATGGTTGTGATGGTGATGGTGGTGATGATGGTGTTGGTGTTGAGGTGATGGTGATGGTTGTGATGGTGATGGTGGTGATGATGGTGATGATGACGGTGGTGGTGGTGGTGGTGTTGGTGTTGAGGTGATGGTGGTGATGGTAGTGGTGGTGGGTGATGGTGGTGGCAATGGTGATGGTGGTGGTCATGGTGGTCATGGTAGTGGTGGCAGTTATCGTGGTGGTGGTGGTGATGGTGGTGGTGATGGTGATGGTAGTGATGGTGATGGTGGTGATGATGGTGATGATGACAATGATGATGGTGGTGGTGGTGTTGGTGTTGAGGTGATGATGGTGCTGATGGTGATGGTGGTGATGATGGTGATGATGACAATGATGATGGTGGTGGTGGTGTTGGTGTTGAGGTGATGATGGTGGTGATGGTGATGGTGGTGATGGTGATGGTGGTGGTGGTGGTGTTGGTGTTGAGGTGATGGTGGTGATGGTGATGGTAGTGATGGTGATGGTGGTGGTGATGGTTATGATGATGATGGTGGTGGTGGTGTTGGTGTTGAGGTGATGGTGATGGTGGTGATGATGGATGATGACGGTGGTGGTGGTGGTGTTGGTGTTGAGGTGATGGTGATGGTGGTGGTGATAGTGATTATGATGATAGTGGTGGTGGTGGTGTTGGTGTTGAGGTGATGGTGATGGTGCTGATGGTAGTGATGATGGTAGTTGTGATGATGGTGGTGGTGGTGATGGTGATGATGGTGGTAGTCGTGGTGATGGTGATGGTGGTGATGGAGGTGGTGGTTCTTGGGCACAGTAAGGGAGGACTGGGCCTGCCAACACCTGAGCTCCATCACCTCTCTTACAGCGTCAACTCCCTGGACGACAACTCTGTGGATGTGGACAAGAACAGTCAGGAAATCAAGGCAAGATGGGGGATGAATTGGTGCCTGGAGGTTCCAACTTGGGTTCTTCTGTGGAGGCTTCAGGGCAGAGCTCAAGGGACCTGCTACTGACATGGGCAGTTCTGCTTCTCTGCACCAGGCCCCAGGAAGCCCTGTGGCTTTGGAATGGGGTCCAATTCCTGCTCCTCCACTGGTTCACTGTGTGACCCTGAGAGACTTCTTGCCTCTGCTTCTCAGTTTTTTCACCTGTAAATGGGGATGGGAACATCAACCATGCAGGGCCATTGTGAGGATTAAATAAGGGCAGGCATAAGAACCACTTGGCACAAACAAGTGCTCACCAATCTGCTTCCAGCCCTTTATGGCCGTTATAGGAAAGCCAGCTGGGGGTGGGAAAGCAGATCCAGAGGTGAACCAGCATAGTCTAGCAAAGGAGAGAAGATGGGTTCAAATAAACAACAGTACCGCCATCTGTTAAACAGGTGAGTTGGTTGGATGAGATCAAGTGTTCATAGACTGGCCTGCTGCGTAAAAGCACCTGAGGAGCTCTTGAAAAATACTGATGCCCAGGTCACACCCAGGTCCATGGGTGCAACATTCTAGCATTTTAAAGACCAAGAGTTCTGATTCTGATGGCCCACGTGGAGCCTGGGCATGGACCTGTTGTAAAAGCCGCTCAGGGGGTGCTAAGGTGCAGGCACGGTGGACACCGCTGGAGCGGGTCAGCAGGCTGAGTGTGGGGTGGGTCCTGGACATGGAGGGGTGGCTCTCTGGAAACAGAAGGAACTGCCCTCTCTCCTTCCCACTTTGAAAGCCACCTCTGGAGGAGACGCTTAAGGCCCATTGGAGCTGTGATAGGCTGAGGTTCTGTGTGTGGTGCTGCGGGGGATCCACCCACATTTTCCCCCAGTCTGGGTTCTGGGCTTGGCTGGGTCCCAGGCCACTAGGGGCTCCCAACCTGACTTCATGGTTCAGAATTTGTTTTCCCTGAGGACTCCTTACATGGAAAGATTTGGTCAACCGAAGCCTCTCTTGGTCTTTAAAATGGTAGAATGTCGCACAGGGGCCCAGGTATAACACGGTACAGGGAATCTGGCACAGAGGCCTCCGGACAGGCCCCAGGTATGGTTGTGTGGGTGGTAATGCAGGCAGCCAGGCAGCGCTGGAGGCCTCTGGGTAGATGCTAGGAGATGGTTAGTGGCCAAAACTCTAATGAACATGTCTGGGGAACTGAGGCGAAGGAACAGTCTTGTCTACTGGAGTGCATGGCCTGTGGCAGAGGCTGATGCTGCTCCTAACCCAAGGGAGTGGAGTTAAGGACCCCCTGAGGTGTGGCTGGATCTGTGGACTGGGAAGGGGCAGGGAAGTAGGAGAAGGGTCTGGAGAGGGTGTGGGGACAAGTCACGGAAAGTCTTCAAAGCCAGAAAATTGCTCAGATTATGTCCTGGGAGGGCAGGGGGTTGCTATATTTCTGAGAAGCTGCCCAAGGCTCCACCCTGTCTCCTGCAGCAGTGAGTCTTGCGGGTCTCTGGGCAGGTCCACGAGGCATGGGGCCTTTTTGGGAGCTGTCTGCCCCCTGCTCTCCCATGGCTGGGGTGGCGCAGGTGGATCCTTTTCCCAGGAATCTCTTGGTGCCCTGACTTGTCTAAGCTCCACACGTCTGTGTGGTAGGTGTGAGTGGCTGGAGAGATTATCACTCTAACCTCCCCAAGTAACCAGCAAGGAAATTCACATCCAGAGAGGGGTGCTGACTTGCTCAAAGTGGGACAGCTTGCAGGGCAGGGGCAGACCAGAACCCAGGTCTTTGGTCTCTGGCACCAGGTCATGTTATCGTGGGTGGCACTGAGCCTGCAGCTCTCCACTTGGGGTCTGTCTTGAGGGCTCTGAGGAACACAGGCAGAATGCTTAGCCCCTCTGGGGCCCCTCGGATGTTCCACTGTTTACTAGGGACCAGAACAGCCCCAGTCTGGAAAAAGCCCTTGGAGTGCCCTGGGGAGGGCGGTGGTGGCCGGGGCTCTGGCCCTGTGGGTGTCTCTGTAGCAGAGCAGCTGAGCTTGGGGGCCTGGCTGTTCCACAGGAGGGTGTGTGTGTGTGTGCACGCACACAGCATGTCGCATGGCGAGGTGGAAGAGGAAGGGCGGGAGAGATGAGTGAGTGTGTGCCATGATAAACTGCAGGTGGGACCAGCCTGTGGGCAGCGTCCCTCTGAGGGCAGCAAAAAGAGACGTCAAATTCAACCAGGGCAGTGTCACATCAT
Source organism: Homo sapiens (assembly GCF_000001405.40). NCBI lineage: Eukaryota > Metazoa > Chordata > Mammalia > Primates > Hominidae > Homo > Homo sapiens. The sequence goes on from NC_000005.10 coordinate 176,595,017, forward strand.
GGACACGCTTTTGAACCAGCAAGACCAGTGGTCTGCCCCTCTTCACCAGTAGACCTCTCTAAGCCTCAGTTTCCACATCTGTGAAGAGAGGACATGTTCCCTCCCTCAGAGGGTTTCAGTGGGTAGTTGAGGTAATGGATGGACCTCAACCCACACGGTGCCTGCCGTGGGGTACAGGGGGCAGGAACTGCGCTGGGCTGGCTCCTCGGCACAGGACACAGGGCCTGGCATTATTTGGAACTGGGCTGAACGGCAGAGTGCCGCAGTGTTGGTGGGCAGGGCAAAGGCAAGAGTGAATCCCCCAGGCCACACCCTCCCCCTCCCCTAATCTGCATCACCATTAGCCAGGGCCACCTCTGGGACACAGCCTGGACCAGAGGCCCCAGGAGGGGCAGGGTGGGACCCCTGCCAAGGAACCACTGGTCGTGAGCTTGAAGCCCATCCACTCCCCTAGGGCCTGGGGCACTCGCCCCACCTTGCCTTGCCCTTCACACCTCCTCTCCCTCTCCCTGCAGGAGCACAGGCCACCACACACACCACCAGAGCCAGATCCAGAGCCCCTGAGCGTGGTCCTGTTAGGACGGCAGGCAGGCGCAAGTGGACAGCTGGAGGGGCCATCCTACACCAACGCTGGCCTGGACACCACGGACCTGTGACAGGGGCCCCCACTCTTCTGGACCCCTTGAAGAGGCCCTACCACACCCTAACTGCACCTGTCTCCCTGGAGATGAAAATATATGACGCTGCCCTGCCTCCTGCTTTTGGCCAATCACGGCAGACAGGGGTTGGGGAAATATTTTATTACCAATGTATACTGTGACAGTTTGTAGCCAAAAACTGCGGCTGGAGGGGTGGGGACGGGACACTGAGTGGTCACAAGGGACTTGGGCTCACAGCACAGGGGGGACAAGGGGCTGGAGAGGGTGGCCTTTAAAAGACAACTGTGGTTATAGAATGAGCTCTCTGTCCTGTCCCCAATACCCAAGAACACCGGTCACCCAGGATGCCAGGGCCCAAGAGCTTCTGTGAGCCCAGCTGTGACCTCCAGACCTTCCTGAGACCCTCTGGCCTTTCTGTGACTCTCTCTCAGCTGAGCCCCCAGGGTACTTCCTGTAGCTGTCTTTGGCCTCTCTGGGAATCTCAAACCTGTGACTCAGTGGGAGAGGGGATGGGGCTGGAACCAGGCGGGTGGGAGATAGGAACTGGGGAAGGACCACCAACAGCATGCAAGAGACGCCCCGGCCACGGGGCCAGCCACTGCGTGGAGACGCTCACACTCGTTCTACCTCACGTGCTGCCCGAGACCTCACATTCAGAGACGTGCCCACTCGCGGGTCTCACACACCGATCCTCACCCACTTGAAGCTTCTGCCACTCAGACTTGTATGCAGTCTCTCCCTGTTCTGGGGATCTGGCCCCACCGGAGACCACAACGCACCAGTCTAGACATCTCAGGAGCCTGCCCCAGCTCTCAGGGGGTGGGAGGTGAGGGTGCTGAGCAGGCCCCCGTGGTCGCCCAGTGTGACCGGGAGTAGAGCTGAGGGCTGTGAGGGGACAGTGGGGCGTCAGGGCTGGCCGGGTTCGTGGCCTCGTGGCCACGAGGGAGCTTGGTAGAAGGGGTTCTTCTGTATTTGTGATGGGAGGGGCTGGAAAGACGGGGACGCAACAGCCCTAGAGGCTGCACAACCCCTCGGAGGCCTGTGGCACGCAGAGGGGACCCCTTCTAGGGGCCTGTGATCAAGAAGGGAGCCTGAGAAGGTCGGAAACTCGGGCGTACAAAATGGGGGCAGATCACTCGGCCGTGGGTCCCGCCCGCGAGCAGCACCGCGGCCGGCGCACACTCTGCAGCAGCGCGCGGAACAGGCCGGGCGGACGCTTGGCGGCGCCATCTGGGGGCGCGGTGCGCACCGAGCCCGAACGGCCGGGGCCGGCACGGGCGGCGGGCGGCGGCGCGGGCGCCCCTTGGCGGCCGTGCTCCTCGATCTGTCGCTCCAGATGCTTCTGGATGGCCATGCCCAGCACCTCCACCTCCATGGCGGCGCCGTATACCTCCCACGTCATGCCCTTCTCGTCCCAGCTCACGTCTCGCACGGGCTCAGCCGGCTCCGGGGGCGCTACAGCGGCCGCCAGCGCTGAGCCGGGCCGCACCCGCACTTCGGGGAAGGCGGGCGGCGCGGCGGCTTGAGGTGTCATGGGCCCAGTGGCCACGGAGCGCGTCTCGGCGGCGCCCAGCGACACCTGCAGGCCCGCATCTCGGCGCGAGGGCGGGCTGGGCGCGCGCGGCGCCGCCTGGAAGCTGAAGGCCGAGCCCCCAGCGCCGTCCTGCGGAGACATGGGGCTCACGGCCACTGAGACGCAGGCCTGCGCGCCCGCCTGAGTGCCCGCGTCCTCGCGCGGCGGCGGCGGGGCGCTCGCCTCCCACGACGGCGCCTTGGTGAAGTTGTCGCGAGTCCGCGGCCCCGGCGGGGGCGCTGCGGCCTCTGGGCAGGGGCTTCTCTCGGCCCCAGCGGCTTCCAGGTCTTTCTGGCCGAGACTGGAGGCCTCGGTGCTGGACACGGGCTCGGCCTTCGGCTCCACGCGGCCTTCACTGCCCCTGGCACCCTCGGGAGACCGGGCTGAGCCGAGGGCTTTGCGGTCTAACTGCCTGGAGGAGGAGGACGGCTTGGTCTTCTCCAGACTCAGGGGGACCACCTTCCCCAAGGATGGGGACTCCGTTTTTCTGGAAGGTGCAGAGTCGGCTTTCCCCAGGGACACAGGCTCTCCCTTCCCTGAGGCAAGGGGCTCTGCTTTTCTGCAGGATCCAGGATCCACCTTCTCTGAGGCCTGTGGTGTCTCCTTTTTCAAACACACAGCCCCTGCTTCCCCTGGTGCTGCAGCGCCCTCTTGCCCAGGGAGCTTTGTTTCTGCTTTGCCACCAGACTGCGGCTGTGCTTTCCCCGAGGCCCTGGGATCCGCCTTTGTGGTGGTAACAGGACTCCCCTTCTCTAGAGGCAGAGAACCCACTTTTCCCTCTGGGATAGCTTCTGCTTTTCCCAGGGACACGGGATCCACCTTCCCCGAGGGCACCGGGACTGTTTTTCCTGGAGTTGAGACCACTTTACCTATAGACACAGAGTCCCCTTGTCCAGAGGGGCCAGCGTCTGCCTTTCCCTTGCTCACAGGGTCCTCCTTGCCCACCGCGAGGGGCTCGGCCTTCCCTGAGGCTGTGGGAGCCGCCTTTCCAGAGGCCACCAGACCTGCCTTCTCCGAGGACAGGGGATCTCCTTTTCCCCCCGTCGCTGGCTCAGCCTTTACTGCAGATGGGGGACCTGCTGTCCCCAAGGACCTGGGATCGCCTGGACCTGAAGACACAGGGTTTGTCTTTCCTGAAGACTCAGGATTCACTTTTTCAGATGATGTCTTTCTACTTCCAGCAGATATGGGGTCCTCCCTTCTGGAGGACACCGGGTCCTCTTTTCCTGGGGATACAGTTCCTGCCTTTCCCACAGACACACGCTCTGCCTGTCCAGGAGACAAGAGCTCTGGCTTTCCTGAGCACATGGGGTCCATCTTTCCCAGAGAAACTGGATCCACCTTGCCTGAAGACATGGGATCCACATTTTTCAAAGATGTGAGATCTGTCTTTGCTGAAGCCGTAGTATCCGTGTGGCCAGACACAGGACGCCCCTCTCCTGAGGAGGCAGGGTCCATCTTTCCCAGGAACCGGGAGTCCTCTTTTGTGGCAGGCACAGTTTCTACATTTCCCACAGATGCGGGATCTGCCATCCCCAAGCATGTGGGATCCAGCCTTCCCAAGGACCCAGGAGCCCCGGTCCCAGAGGATACAGGCCCATTCTTGCCTGATGAGCCTGGAATCAGCTTGCCCAGGAGCCCCGGCTCTGTCTTTCCTGTGGACGCAGAATCCATGCTTTCCAAGGGCATGGGATCTGCCTTTCCCGAGGGCCCAGGATCTCTCTTTCCCGACAATACAAGATCTACCTTTTCTGCAGATGTAGGAGCGACCTTTTCTGAGGACACAGGATGCTCTTTTCCTGAATACCTGGGCTCCTCCTTTCTTGGGAATACAGGGTCCACTTTGTCTGAGGACACAGGATCCACCTTTCTCAAAGACCCAGGATCCTCCTTCCTCGGTGACACTGTATACGTCTTGCTGGAGCACAAAGGATCTACTTTTCCCAGGGATCCAAGATCTTCCTTTCTTACAGTCATGGGATCCATCCTTCCAGGAGCCACAGGATCCCCCTTTCCCAAGATTTCAGGCTCTGCCTTTCCTGTAAACATGGGATCTGCCTTCCGTGAGGACCCAGGATCCTCCTTTCCTATGGAAGTGGAATCGGCCTGCTTTGAGGACTTGAAATCCATCTTCTCTAAGAACATGGGATTTCTGTCATCTGAGGATTTGGGCTCAGTTTTCACGGAGGACACAGGCTCTGGCTTCCCAGACGTGGTGGCTTCTGGTGTCCCTGAGATGGAGGCTCCATGTGCCTCCAATGTCTCCTTGGAGGGTGACTCCTGGGGAGAGAAGCAGGTTGGGGAGGGGCAGGCCAGGCTCCCTCTGGGGCCGTCAGAGCAGGAGGCCCCTTCCCCAGCCCCACTGGGGCTTCTGTGTCTAGACTCCATGCCTGGGCTTTGGTCAGGGGTGTGCCTGGGGGGTGCAGGGCTTGCCTTTTGCTGGGAGGGGCAGTAATCCCTCATAGCCGAGCTGCCAGCCCCCAGGCTCCCATCCTGTGGGCAGAAGAAGGCTGTGGGTCGGGGTCCTGGGGGGCTGGAATCCTTTTGAAGCAGCTGGAGCCAGGCCGGGTCTTCAGCAGTGTCCATCTGCCCTCATGACCACGCCTGCACCCAAGGCTGCTGTCTGGTTCTGAAACAGAGAGAGAGCTGACTCAGACTTCCCAAAGCTCAGTGGGGGAGGAGACTCTGCCTTCTCCCCTTCCTCACTGAGTGCTGTGTCCCATCTGGTCCCCACCTGTCCAGAGGACCTAGACTAAAAACACAAACCCAAGCATGTCACTCCCCTGCTTCACTGCTCCCAGTGGCCCTCTGTATAAAGACGTCTTACAAGGCATTCAACGCCCTTCACAACTTGGCCACAGCCTAACTTTCTTTTTCTTTTTCTTTTTTGAGACAGAGTTTCGCTCTTGTTGCCCAGGCTGGAGTGCAATGGCGCGATCTCAGCTCACCGCAACCGCAACCTCCGCCTCCTGGGTTCAAGCGATTCTCCTGCCTCAGCATCCCAAGTAGCTGGGACTACAGGCATGCGCCACCACGCCCAGCTAATTTTGTATTTTGTTGGTCAGGCTGGTTTCGAACTCCCGACCTCAGGTGATCCGCCCACCTCAGCCTCCCAAAGGCTGAGATTACAGGCGTGAGCCACTGCGCCCCACCCACAGCCTAACTTTTCAACTTTGCCTACTATCGCCCCTCTCTGTTCAACCCCACCCCATGCAACACACTATCCAGAAGTTATGCTTTTGTCCTCTAGGCCAGGGGCTGCAAGCTCTGATGTCCGGGGGTCAAGTAGGTAATTTAAGTGAGGGAAGTGGGTTAGGTATAAGACAAAAGGGAGTGGTGGGGACTATGGCAAATTAGAGAGCACATGCTCTGTCTAAAGGGATGGCCGGGTGCGGCGGCTCACGCCTGTAATCCCAGCACTTTGGGAGGCTGAGGCTGACGGATCACTAGAGGTCAGGAGTTCAAGACCCCCCTGGCCAACATGGTGTAACCCCCTCTCTACTAAATATACAAAAAAATTAGCCAGGTGTGGTGGTGCACGCCTGTAATCCCAGCTACTCAGGAGGCCGAGGCAGGAGAATTGCTTGAACCTGAGAGGCAGAGGTTGCAGTGAGCCAAGATCGTGCCACTGCACTCCAGCCTGGGCAACAGAGCAAGACTCCATCTCAAAAATAAACAAAAACAAAAATTAATAAAAATAATAAAGGGAGAACCACTACTCCCATCAGCCAAGTGCTATCCTGGAGAAATGCAACCTGGTGGTCCCAGTTCTTCCAGTTGCTTAAGTGGGAAATCCAGACTTTAATGTAAAATATGCTAATTAATTAAAGGTTTAAAAAAAAAAAACCCAAACATTATGTGGGCCAAACAAGACTTGCCTGTAGGCCACCAGTTTATGTCTATGTAGGCCCTGGAGAGCTGTGAATGGTTTATAGTCAAGGAAGGGACATAGTCAGATGTGTGTGTTTTCAAAGATTCCTCTGGGATGGTATGGAGGCTGGGCTGAAGGAGCACAGGGGTTGGCCAAGACCTGTGAGGAAGCTGGTAAATCATTCATTTAATCTTTCATCCATTTAATCCTTCATTCATTCACCTAGCCCCTTCTCTGCAACAGGCCCTGAGCAGTTGCAGGAATCTCGATGAGAGACAGCACAGCAGAGGTCCTGGAGATGGTAGTTAAAGGCAGAATTGAGAAATCCAAAGGAAAACTGACAGGTACCAACAGGCTGTACTGGTAATGGCAGGGGCGGTCTGCAGGGTACTGGCTAGGGTGAGGGCTGCTGGGTGATGGTGCTGAGCAGGAGATGTAGGAAAGAGGGAGATCCGTTTTTGGACAAGCTGAGTTTGTAGTGCCTGGGGGATATCCAAGAAGAGGGTCCAGCAGGCAGCTGGGCCTACAAGCAACCCCGTTCCGTTACACACTCAGTAGCCAAAGCAAATAGAGCTCCTGATCCCCTCAAACCTGCTCCAAAACCATGGCTTTAATGCTCAGGCCCAAATCCCTAATCACCCTTGACTTTCACACCCCACGTCTATCAGCAAAACATAATGGAGTTACCATCAGAATATATCCAGCATCTGGCTACTGCCATCTGGACCCCCCACCATCTCTCACCTGGATTATCCCTGCCTTTTCCTTTGTCCCATAGCTTATTCTCAACACAGCAGCCAGAGGGATCTTAGTAAAACCCGAGACAAATCATGTACCCCTCTGCTCGGAACCAGGCAGTGTCTCCCCATCCCATGCAAAGTAAAAGTAAACTCCTTAGAATGGCTCAGAAGCCCCTGCATCTTCAGGCCCCGTCACCTCCTCTGCCCTTTCTGCTGCTGCTCTCCCTCTCCCTCACGCTGCTTCAGCCACGCGGGGTGCCTCGCTGTGCGCCTTGCTGTGCCTTGAACACGCCTGCCTCCATGCCTTGGCGCTGCCTGCTTCTTCTGCATGGAGAGATTTCTCTCCAAATATCTGCATGGTCGGCTCCCCAAGGCTTTCCCTGACCCATGCAATGTAAAACAGCCTCCTCCCCAGCTCTGGCTGGCATTCTCCACCCTCTTATTCTAATCAGTTTTCCTCCATAGTACCTGTCACCATCTGACATATCACATATATTCGCTTATTGCTTGTGGTGTGTTGCTCTCATTAAAATGCCAGCTCCAGGAGGTGGGGACTTTGCTGTGCTATCTGATATATCCCAGAGTTGAGACCTGGCACACATGCAGTAAGCAAGGAAGATCCTCATACGGATTTGTTCCATGAATGACTGAATGACCTAAGATGCAGAGCCACCTGTGCCCTCCTTGGCTCAAAACCCTCCTCATTCTTGCCGGAAATGTAAATTAGTTGTAATCTTTTTAGAAGGACATTTATCAATTTCTATCAAAGTTTACAACGCGCATAGCATTTGAGCCACCAAGCCCACCTCTAAGCATGGTCCTAAAGATAGACCTGGGGTCCTGAAGATGGTCCTGGGGTACACAAGGGCATGGCTAGTGATGAGAACAAGACGGGGAGGCAGGTTCTGTGAACTGTGGGACAACCACGCAGAGCACCGGGCAGCTACTAGAAGGTGTGGGGTAATGAGGGAAAGCACCCAAGATAAATTAATTGAAAAAGGCCAGGGGACAGCATCGCTACTGGGATCCCACGCGTGTAGCCAAGGAAAAGGACACACATGGATGGGTTTATTTATAAAGAGAATTTCTGGATGGAATCCTATAAAACTTTTAGCAGTGACTGCCTCTCAGAAGGAAGAGCGGGGATCTGAGGGTGGGAGAAGCTTTTCTTTGTGCGCCCCTTTGTGATGTTTAAATTGTGGTTATGTGCGCACATAGTCCTTTTTTTTTCCAATGGACAATAAAGAGAAACCTTTAATGACTCACTCTTACCTTTGGGGTAAAGTCCAGCTCTTTAATATGCTCCTAAGCCCCTATGTTTCTACTTAAGTGCTGGGATTTATCTTTCATTACCCACTCCCACCCCCAAAACATGTACACACACAGATACACACTCTCTCTCTCCCCCACCATCTCAGCCTCTACACACCCTCTTCTGGAGGAATCTCTCCCTCCCTTCTTGCCTGGCTGTCTCTTATTACACCTTCAGATCTCCGTTAAAACACCTCCTCCTCTAGTGGGCCTTGTTTGGCTACCAGCTTCCTGGGGATTCCTGTAGCCTCTCGTTCCTCCTCTAACAAGGCTCATGTCACTCTGCATCTGGCCATTTACACCTCTGGGTCCCTGGCCAGACCTCAGGTCTCTGGATGGGGACACAGTCGATACTGTTCACTACTGGGTCCCTCAGGCTCTGGCTTATGAGGTGGGGGAGGGGGACCATCACTAAGAGGGAACACAGGAAGAGGAACAGTTTTGCAGAGGATCATGGGGCACTGGGTTTCGGAAGTGGAACTGGAGTGCCCATGGGACTTATGGGGGGTGACATCCAGGAGGCAGTAGGAAGCAGGCCAGAAGCACGGGAGAGGTCTGGTTGGAATTCGTGGGATCACTGGATGGTCACCAGCCTGCAGGGGTCAGGCAGGCATCAGATTTGAGTGGCGTGAATTGAGTCCATCTTCATCTTTGGCCTTTTGATAGTGATATGGGCACAAATATTTGTTTTCTCCTACAAGGGAGATGATGAAAGACTCCTGACATCCCCAGACTGAGGGAGACAAGAGGGAGTGGTGGGGACTGTGGCAAACTAGAGGGCACTGGCCCCTTCTAAAGGGGCAACGGCACTCAATTCCTGCCAGCTGTGGCCAATTAGGAATCATTCCATTAACTCAGCATTTACTGAGCACACAGGCAATGTTCTAGGCATTATTCTTGGGACTGGGGATACAGCAGTGAATAAGAAATGTGGGGTCCCTGCCTTATAGATGCAGAAAGATTGGGAGGAGAGAAATAAACAAGTGGCAAATAAATCATAGTATTTCAAATAATGGATGCTGTGAAGACAAAGGAGTGGGCAGCTGGTTTAGACATGTGGTCAAGAAAGGCCCCTCTGAGGCAGTTACCATCTGAGCCAGCCATGAAGAGCTGGAGTGGAGTCGGAAAGGGGGTGGCAGCGGAAGAGGAGGCAGCAAATCACATGAGGCATGGTGGAGGAGGGGGGTTTAGCCTAAGGGCACTGGAAACCCTGGAAGTATTTTCTTTTTATTTGAGACAATGTCTCACTCTGTTGCCCAGGCTGGAGTGCAGTGGCGCGATCTCGGCTCACTGCAGCCTTGACCTCCTGGGCTCAAGTGATCCTCCCACCCCAGCCTCTCAATGTAATAGGATTATACCTTGATCTCTTGAGGCCAAGAGTTCCAGACCAGCATGGGCAACATAGCAGGATCTCGTGTCTACAATAGGATTATACCTAGCGCCTAGTGAGCCACTGTATCCCGCCCCTTGGAAGTATTTAAGCAGGGAAGTGAATGTGGCCGCTGTGCCTCCAGGTTTCCTAAATTTTTTTTTAGCTAAGTCATAAATCTGGATATCTGTATTTTATTTATTTATTTATTGAGACAGAGTTTTGCTCTTGTTGTCCAGGCTGGAGTGCAATGGTGCTATCTTGGCTCATTGCAACCTCTGCCTCCCAGGTTCAAGTGATTCTCCTGCCTCAGCCTCCCAAGTAGCTGGGATTACAGGCATGCGCCACCATGCCCAGCTAATTTTGTATTTTTAGTAGGGACAGGGTTTCTCCATGTTGGTCAGGCTGGTCTCGAACTCCTGACCTCAGGTGATTTGCCTACCTTGGCCTCCCAAAGTGCTGGGATTACAGACATGAGCTACCGCGCCCAGCATGGATATCCATGTTTTAAATATTGGCTAATTTAAAAAATATCATACAGGCTAAACAAAACACTTTTTTTTTTTTTTTTTGAGACAGAGTCTTACTCTGTCACCCAGGCTGGAGTGCAGTGGTACAATCTCAGCTCACTGCAACCTCTGCCTCCCGGGTTCAAGCAATTCTCGTACCTCAGCCACCCGAGTAGCTGGGGCTACAGGCGCACATCACCATGCCCAGCTAATTTTTTAAATTTTTACTAGAGACAGAGTTTCACCGTGTTGGCCAGGGTGGTCTCGAACTTCTGGCCTCAAGTGACTGGCTGCCTTGGCCTCCCAAAGTGCTGCGATTACAGGCATGGTCCACCATGCCCGGCCAAAACACTTTCATGAGCCAACTTTGACCCCTAGGTCACCAGCTTGCAACCTCTGATCCATCTGGCCCTTGGCCTATGGAAAAGGACGTTATAAGCCAGGGTGACCGGGAAGATGGTCAAGGGAAAGGGCCCTGGGGCGGAGTTCCGCGGCTGTAATCCCAGTGCTTTGGGAAGTCAAGGTGGGATGACTGCTTGAGGCCAGGAGTTCCAGATCAGCATGGGCAACACGGCAAGATCCCGTCTCTACAAAAACTTTAAATTAAAATTAAAAAAAAAAAAGAAATTAGCCAGGTGTGGTGGCATGTACTTATAGTCCTGCCTGCTCCAGAGGCTGAGGCAGGAGGATCTCTTGAGTCCAGGAGTTTGAGGCTGCAGTGAGCTATGATCAGCCTGGGTAACAGAACAAGAAACTGTCTTTAAAACAGAGACAGGGAGAGAGAGAAAGGGCCCAGGCTCCAGTGAGGGCCAGGATCTGCCTACCATGCCTGCCTGTTTCCTTCTCTGGAAAACAGGAATTCAACAGCTGCCTGGCTGGTGTACAGGGAGTTTAGCTGGAGCTGGAAGGAGTCAGCAAAGGATATAGGAAGGGTGCTCTGGGCCCTCACTACCCCTCATTTCAGCCCTGGAAGCCCAGCCCTGGGGTCCTCACACACCAGCCCAGCCAATAAGCTCCTCTCCCTGGGTGCAGCCCGGGCAGAAAGTCAGGCCAGCCCACCGCTTATCAGCTCTGTGACTTCAAGCAACGCCCTTCTCCTCCTTGGGGACCCTGAAGAACCCACCTCCTGCTCCCCCAGGGCTATAGTGAGAATTAAAGAAAATGAGGGGTGTGCCTGACTCTGCTCACTTTAGGGCTGGGCTGTGTCTGTGGAAGGCCTGTTTTTATCTGCTCAGCCTGTCAGAGCCCAGCTGTGCTCCCAGGAGGGGGCAGGGGAGGAAAGGGTCTGCAGCAGGGACACAAACCAGCAAAACCTGACCCTCAGACAGGCTTGTTTGACCCACAGAGCTAAACACATTTTAAAATCAGTTTTAAAAAGGAATTAACCGATCAACTTCTAAACATTAGAAGATTTCATGTGACAGTAAGATTTCCAGCTTCTCTTGGAAAACTAAAATTTGGCAGTCTGAGCGTGCTTCCTGCCTGGCAACATTCAGCTGGAGCCCCAAAGGGACAGCCTCCTTAGATGGGGGTGTACTCTCCAATCAGCCACAATCCCCCCTCTTCCCCACGGTGTCCTAGACACTGAGGCTGACTGTCTGCTGCCATCAATCATGGAATTCTCACTGTCGTTTTTCTCACAGCCGGCCCTTCATGTATGTTACCCTCCTGGCCTGTAGCCACCTGAGTGTGGACCCTGGAGCACAATGCCATGAAAGGCAGAGGTGACCTTGTACAAGTCGAGCCCTTACTATGTGCAAATCCCACCCGCCTGCCAGGCAGCTGTTGTAGTCCTGTTTTCCAGAGGAAGAAACAGGTTCTAAGAGGCAAGCTTGGCTCAGCTGATAACATGCCCCTTCTGAAAGTCCCCAGGCTTCCCGTCCCCAACTTGTATTTTCCAGCCTCTGAGATGGGATAAAGTCCAGGGTAGGGACAGAGAGCCTGGTCAGGGAGGTAGAAAGATGTGGGGTCAAGCCCCAGCTTAGTCATTGACATCCTCTATGACTCTGAGTGAGTTTTTCTACTCCGTGGGTCTCAGTTTTCCAATCTGTGAAATGGGAGAGGGGATGTAGTTACATCTGGAAGAGATAGGCCAGCCCTGGGTTTCAGAACTGCCCCAAGACCACTCCCAGAGGCTCTACTGCTCACAGTTCTGCTGGGCCCTTCCTGGATCTTGGGGAGGCCTGAGGATCCTCGAGCTGCTTCTCTGAGAGGCAGCCCAGGCCTGAGGCCCCACATTCTCTCCCCGCAACTACCCCACTAGAACCCAGCTCCATTACCTGGGCCCAGCACGCTCACTGTCTTTCTTTTTTTGAGACCGAGTCTTGTTTTGTTGCCTAGGCCGGAGTGCAGTGGCATGATCTCGGCTCACTGCAATCTCCACCTTCCAGGTTCAAGTGATTCTCCTGCCTCAGCCTCCCGAGTAGCTGGGATTACAGGCATGTGCCACGACACCTGGCTAATTTTTGTATTTTTTGTAGAGACAGGGTTTCACCATGTTGTTTAGGCTGGTCTTGAACTCCTGGCCTCAAGTGATCCACCCACCTCGGCCTCTCAAAGTGTTGGGATTACAGGCATGAGCCACTGCACCCGGTCTCAGTCTCTTTTTATCATCTGGATCCCACAACAATCTCATGAGGGGGGCATTATCATCCCATTTCACAGATGAGGCCACTGAAGTCAGAGGGAGAAGACTTGACCAAGGGCACACAACTGGGGCACACAACTGGGGCACACAACTTGGTCAAGACTTGACCAAGGGCACACAACTGAGGGAAGGCTGTAGCTCAAAGCCAGTTGTGCCCAAGCACAAAACCTGAGTTCTTTCTAAGATCGTGGACACTGACACTTGGCTCTTTTTTTTTTTTTTTTTTTTTTTTTTTTTTTTTTTTTCTGAAGACAGGGTCTCACTCTGTTACCCAGGCTAGAGTGCAGTGACACAATCATACCTCCCTGTAGCCTCCAACTCCTCAGCTCAAGCAATCTTCCCTCATCAGACTCCTAAGTAGCTATAGGCATGCGCCATCACACCCAGCTAATCTTTAAATTTTTGTAGAGATGGGGGTCTTGGTATGTTGCCCAAGCTTGTCTCAAATTCCTGGCCTCAAGCAATCCTCCTGCCTGGGCTTCTCAAAGTATTGGGATTACAGGTATGAGCCACTGCACCTGGCCTGACACTTGGTTCTCAAAACCCCCTTTCTGGTTTTTGAGGTCAGGCCAAGGTTCCTCCCAAGCAACAGTGCCAAGGAGCATGCAGTAGAAGAAGCAAGAGCTCCCCTCCCCCTGCATACATTCCCCCACCTGTGGGAACGCACACACCCTATGAGCAGATGAGCCTGTACACTTGGGCACAAACAGGTTGAGTGTGGCCTGACTGAGGCAGAAGGCAGAAATGTCTGCTAGGTATGTAGGCGGGCTCACCTGGCATGCAAAGGAGTGAACAGACTGCTTGTGGATGTATGTACCAGCTTGGGCCACTCTGGGGCCAGGACCTGGCTCCTGTGTTCTGCTCAAGAAGAGCTTGTTGTGCGTATGTACACCCTGCATGTGCAGAATGGCCTGTGTGTTTGTGCCTCGTGGGGGCTACTTGGACCCTGTGGGTATCTCACTCCTAGGAGAGCTTATCTGGGTGTTGCACAGGTGCCTGTGTCCTGCTCCCAGGGAGAGCAGCAGCCCCTGTGGCTGCCCATTCAGGCCACAGAGACCTGGCCAGCCATTCCTTTCCCTCTAGGATTTCTTTCCAGCATGGAGCTATCCTTACACCCATAAACAGGGCCAGAACTGCCAAGCACCTGCAAATACCTCTTCTGTGCTGACAAGACCAACAAAGGCTTGAGGGACTTCGTCAGGCATCTGAGTGTGTCTGAGAATCTCAGTCTGCTGCCCCTCGTCCCCTTCTCTCGTAGTGCCCTCAGAGCAGCGAAGTCTCCTGCTCGGGGGTGTGGGGGGAGAAGGAATCTAAAGGTGTTAGCCAGACCTGCTTCCAGAAACGGCCCTCAGACCATGCATACATACATACATAGGAGGGCAAGAATGGACGTTCATGGACGTGCAAACGTGGGCCAGTGTGGGTGGGAGTGGGCAGCACGCTAAGAGACAGAGTGTGTGTGTAAGAGGGAGTGTGTGCACAAGGGTGGCAGTCTACTCCAGGGTATCTGGGTACGCAAGGGACCCCATGAGCAGGGGTGAGCAGGCCAGGGCAGGGTGGCCCCGAGTGTGTTGTGATCAGGGAGTATTGTTGAGTTGATGTCCATGCTGTGATCCGCGATGGCTGGTTTGAGTGCGTAGCTGTGCCTGGGTGTGTACGCAAGGCTCCCACCCAGTACCCTGGGTGACAGGTGGCCGTGTGTATGAGTCTAATGGAATGACCAACAGCCATTGTGTGTGTGCGGTAGACCTGTGGCCTCACTCGAGGAAATGAGGCGCCCGTGCGTGAACGCGGTGTTGTGTGATCGCGCCCCGGAGTGTGTGCCACACTGGTTGTGTGACGGCGAGTGTGCTCAGTAGTGCGAGTGGAGCCAGTGGAGCGTTGAGCTCGCTCCGGGGAAGATGAATCAACGCGGGAGGACGCCCTCCCCCCAGTGGCGGGAAGCACCCCCTCCCGCGCGGCCATGCCGAACAAAGCCAGCGGGCGGCGGCAAGGCCGGGCGCGGGGCCGACCCCACAGCCAGGTCAGCCTGGCCCGCCGGGCCCCTCTGATGTTCGGCCCAGGGCTGCGGGACCCGCCCCCGCCCCGCCCCGCCCCGCCCCGCCCCGGCGAGGAGCCTGGAAACAGACACCCACCGCCCCCAGCCGCGCGCACACACCCGGGCTCATGCCGCGCGAGGTGTCCGAGCCCCGCCGCCGGGGGGCTTCGAGGACCCTGGACAGCGGCTCCGGGGCGGCAGCGAGCGGATGAAGGGGCTGCCGCCGCCCGCCCGGAAAGACAGCGGGTGTGGGCGCGGCGCTTACCAGGCAGTGCCGCTGCTCCGGCTCCTGGGCGAGATGCGCTCCGGCTCCCGCCGCCGCCGCCGCCGCCGCCCGAGCGGCCTCGGCTGCCTCCGGCCGGGCTGGCGGGAGGACCCGCAGACTCGGCGCCGCCGTCCCCAGCGCCGGCTCCGCGCTCCCGCCCCGCGCCCCGCCCCGGGCATGCGCAGTAGCCGCCCGGCCGCCTCGGAACCGCGAGGGGGCGGTGACCGCGGGGAAACCGCGGCCGGAGGGAGCGAGGGAGGGGCGCCCCTCGCTGGCCAACCCTAACTGCGGCCGCTGGGCTCCCGGGTTCCGCGCCGTCCTCGAGCGGGTTCCCACTTCACAGACAGGGAGACTGAGGGCCGGAGAGGCTGCCCCTTTGCTGCGAGCTTGCTGAGGGCGGGGCGCGCCGTCTAGCAGATCTTAGACCAGCCCCTCGAAAGCCCTCGCCTGGCTTGACCAAGGAGGGAACTGGGGCTCAGAGGGGGCAGTCGCCGGCCTGAGGACTCGAGGCGCCTGGATGGGGACCCAGGTCGGCGCGATCTCCCGGCTCCGCCAGCGAGGAAATTTCCCGCCTCCGCCCCCCCCACCCCCGGCCGCACTTCCGGCCTCCTCTTCCCCGCCCCCGGCCCTTTGTCTCGCCGCTGCCCACGCTCCAGCGAGTGGCGGGGACGCCGGAGGTAGTGGTGCGGGAGAGATGCCTTCCAGTCCCTGGCTGCGGCCTCCCCGGGGGCCCGCCCGCCCTCCCCCCTCCCCCTGGATACCCTCGAGCAAATCATTTCACCTCTCTGCACTTCAGTTTCTCGATCTGTAAAACGGGACTAACATTATGCACCTCACGGTGGTCTTGGAAGGGCAAAGTAGGTGTTCAGGGGTTTCCAGTGGTATCTGAATCACCAAGGACACAGAGACTCGCTGCCCACCCCCTCCACATTTCCCTGCAGAGAAGGAGTTCCCTTCCCCTTGACTTCCCAGAGGAGAAAAAATAATTCCGTAATTGCTCTAGATGTGACAAAACCCTCTCGCACCGGTACTATGAAGCCACCACCATCTATTAATCAATGGTAACAACCATTGGCAATGATGCTTATGTAGGGCCAGACACGGCGCTAAGATTCTGTTTACAGGTTTTATCTAATTTCAATTTCCAATCGCTTAGGAGCAAGTTAATATTAATGTATTATATCTCCATTTTTCAGATAAGAAAAGAGAAGCAGATAAGTAACTTGTTTGTGGTCACACATCTAGTTAGTAGTGGAGCTGGGATTACAAACCCATGCAGTCTAACTTTGAAACCTCACTTCTTATTCTTACATTTTACTCCCCTCTCTTACTTGGTGAACCGTAAGTCACCGTGATCCTTTAAAATATATATATATATATATATATATATATATATATATATATATATATATATATATATATATTTAAAATTCTAGGTGATAAATGAAGAAAATCCGTGGGACTGGCGTCTCCAGGCAGCACGCCAGGCAAGGAGAAAACCTCAGCGTGTCGGACCGGTTTCAGAACCACGGACAGCACCACACCAGGGCTGCTTCCTCACATTTCCGGTCCTGAAAATTGCTCATTCACTGCCCACAAGGCCATTTCGCTTCAGAGCTTACAAACCCTTATTCCACATTCATCATTTCATTTTTTTCTCCCTACAGCCCTTCAAAGTAAACATTACTGGCTCCATGACACAGATGAAATTAAGGCTTGGAGAAGTTCACAGATGTGAAAAGTGGCAAGAACCAACCTGTGATCGAAAAAGGTCCCCCTGGGACAGGACAAGGGTGGACAGGAGCAGAGACTAGGCAGGAGTGAGGAGGCTATGGCAGGTGTTCAGGTGAGCGATGATGATGCCTGAACCACGGCGGCATTTGTAGGGATGGAGAGGAAGAGTCAGATTGGATACCTATCTAGGGGTAAAATCAATAGGCCTTGACCATGAGGTGGATGTGGGTGGAGGGGAGAGAGAACTCTGCTGTCTCTCTGAGATTCTGCCTTGGGGAGCCAGGTGGATGAAGGACAGATAATTTATGAGCTCTGGGGGGAAAGAGGGGTTTATAGGATGGCCGTGCTGATACATTTGAGTCCAGAACTGAGTTCTGCCGTGGCCAAAGCTGAAGGCAGACAAGGGAGCCCATCCACCTCCAGCTGGTGCCGGAGGTCATGGGAGGGGTGTCGGCACATGGGAGGACGTACACATCAGGTACACACCAGGTAGGGAGACACAAGGGCCCTAGGCCAACCCTGAGGCACGCCAACATGAAGGGACTGGCTGGGAAAAGGAGGCTGCAGCAAAGAATGAGAAGCAGTCATCTGAGAAGCCAGAAGCAGCCCAGGAGAGTGTTATGTCTCAGAAGCCAAGGGAGAGAGTGTTCCAGAAGGCAGGAGAGTCACCACATCAAGAAGACAAGATATGGCCTGAAAGGTGTCCTCTGGACTTTGAAAGTTGATGACATGCAGTCAGTGGAGAAGCGGGGTGGAAGGCAGCCATGGTGGGGGGTAGGTTGATGAGGAAATAGGAGTAAGGAAATGGAGTGGGCAAGTAGACAACTTCCTCAGAAAGTCTGGGCTTTGAGAGAGAAAACAGGAATGACAGTCTCTCCAGAGGGATGGGAGGTTGAGCTGAAGGAGACTTGAAGGCATTTAAATTCTGATGGGAGGGGCCCAGTACAGAGGGAAAGGGCAAGGTGTCAGCAAAAGAGAGGACCAGGGCTGGGTCTGGATGCTCAGGTGGAAGGTGGGGATGGGATCCAGAACCCCAGGGCAGCTCCCAGACCTGGAGATAAAGATCAAAAGCATGTGGTTTATTTGTGAGGTGCAAGGACACCAGCAGGGGAGTGGGAAGGTGACCCAGGAAGGGAAGGCAGCCAGTATGAGGTTATTATTCAGTCGGCTACCACAGTGAGTGAAGCTTAATCCTGCAGGGAACTCTTGGAAAATGGGGTAAATACACATTTTGGAATTCTCCTGGCTGAGGGCAAGGGAGGTGGGGTATTTATATCCCAACACCAGCAGATGTTGGTTAAGGGCCATCCCTGGAATGTGTTGCATGGGCTGTATGTTAATTCCCAGGCATTCCTGGCCCACAATGAATGTGGGCAAAGTGGGTCCCAGCAGCCTGAGAGCATCTCTCTGACAAAGATGCAGGTACTGCTGGGAGTCCTGCCGGTAGGCACAAAAATGATAAGGGCACCCAAAGGGATGTGGTCAGAGTTCTGGCAGTGCCTGCTATGTGGACACTGGAGCCTCTTTAAAATCTGGGTCCTCTGCCATGCTCTGCAACCACTCTTGTTCCATAGGGACTTGTTGATAAAAACATTTTTAAAATGAAAATTTCCAGACAACAAAACAAAGCACTTGCTAACGCAGAGGAGGAGCTCAAAACAGGTACGGAGGCAGTTGATGTGGGTTCAGTCCTGGCTTTGCCAGTTACTAGCTGTATGGCCTTGGTTGAGGTCTCTCTTAGCCTCGATATCATCCTATACAATGCTTAGCTCTCAGAGCTCTAAGGAAGATGTAGGGAGGAAAAATACACCAAGTGCTTTTGCTGTGGACAGCAGTGTTATGGCAAGCCCAGCACCGCACACCCTTTTCTGACCACGGCACCTCCATCTTCCTTGGGAGACCACCTCCCCACCCCAGCCCATGTGGTGGGATGGGATGGATCCCAGTGCCAGCTCTAGGGTGGGCAGTGACCCAGGTCACTGATTTGTTCTGGGGGGAGGGGGAGTCAGGGATGGAGCACGGAACCAAAGCCACCTGCTTCTCATACTCTCCTGGAATTTTGGGCCTTGCTGAATCGGTGTTGCATACACCTGGAATTGCTGGGGGTCATCTTTGTCCCCGTGTGGAGAGAATCCATCTGGTCCCAGGTTGTGACTCATCCTAGGGTTCAGGCTCACCCTGTGACAAATGACATGGTCACCCACACCCGTGTGAGTGTGTGTATGTATCTCGGGTTGCTCTGCCACTGGGGAGCCATACACACTCGTACGCACCAGAAGATAAACAAGTGCCTGCAGCTCCTTGGCTGGCGCCCAGGCCGGGGGTGGAATAAACAATCCCAGTGACTTTCTGAAAAGCAAGCGTGTGTGGCAACAGGCACCATGGAGACAAGCAGACTGTACCAGAGCAGAGACAGCAGCCACCCCCCAAAGCCACCCCTGCGCGCGCGCACACACACACACACACACACACACACACAAAATATGTATCTTGCCCTCTTTCCCCTCTCGTTCACATTCATATCATGTTCATATCTCCTCCATAAAGCACAATCCCCTTCTCACACCCAGGCAGCTACTCCCATTCTAGCTTTGTTTGAGGCTAAAACTTTTGAGGTCTGAGACTCCCAAGACAACAGCATCCACAGTTCCTGAACTCGTTGCCTGGATACTGGCCCTGGTCTAGGCCATATTTCAGCAAATTGAAGCCACTAGAGAAGGTGTGTGCTCTGTGTGTGGGGGGGGGAGGGGGGAGGGCAGGCAGTGCCATATAAACCCAACTTTCTGTAAAGTTCTTGTGTTTGCTTCAGGGATGCACACACCACATACAAACACACACTCCTTCAAGAAATACTTACCTGTAGTTGTAGTTGGCTATGAAGATTGAAGAATTTTTTATATTTTTTTATTTAAAAATAAAAATAAAAAATACTTACCCAGACCCCACACACCTGCACCCTCTGAATACTCGGATCCACACCCATCCTCCTGTGTGCCGTGTATAACCCAGCACCCCCCAGATGATGATAACGATGGTAGTATACCACTTACTGTACATTAGTGTTTTACAGTCATCACCTCATTCTATTTAATCCTAAAGAAAACCATCTGAGACAATACAATTATTCCCATTTCATAGGTGAGGAAACTAAAAAGTTCAGAGACATTAAGTAACTTGCCAGGGTTGCACAACTAGAAAGTAATAAAGTTGGGAGTCAAACTCTAGCCCTACTCAGACACCCACACAACGCCCTCATACATGTGCACATGCTACATACATACACATATGCACACACATGAGGAAACTCTACCTCCTCAGTCAGCCCAGATAACTGATGCACATCGGGTCACCTTTCCCACCCTGATCTCCTCACATGCACTATCCCCGGGCCCTCACAGTGCTGCACTGATGGTCATGAGAGCCCCAGCCTGGGCACACAGGCACACAGCCTGCTGCTCACACAGGCCCCCTCCCCCCTCGCTGCACCCCCCTCACCCCCAGCAGCTGCGGCCCGGCCTGGATGAGGGAGGCCCCAGGATTCGGATGGGTGACTCAGGCTGAATCATGGCCCAGCTGCTCCTTGGCAGCCCTCTCTCCCATTCTGCCCGAGAGCCTTTTTTTTTTTCCTTTTTCTTTTTTGAGACAGGGTCTTGCTTTGCCTAGGATGGAGTGCAGTGTCATGATCACAGCTCACTGCAGCCTCCAATACCTGAGCCCAAGCAATCCTCCCACCTCAGTTTCCCAAGTAGCTGGGACTACAGGTGTGAGCAACTGCACACAGCTAATTTTTAGTATTTTTTGTAGACAGGGTCTTGCTATGTTGCCCAGGCTGATTTTGAACTCCTGGGCTCAAGTTATCCCAGAGAGCCTATTTGGAAAGCAAAGTTGGATCTTAGGGCAGGGGACAATGAGTTGGTGGTAGACAATAAGGGATGGAGCACTTGAGAGGGAGAAATTGGGCACAAGAAGACCTCTGTGCCCTCCTCCACTCCCTGATATCCTGCAGGTGCACCCAGGCAGCCCCCACCCATGTCCCTCATTCTGCCAGGGAAAGGAGTCCTTCCGCCTGGACCCTGGCCAGGGGCTCCCTCTCTAATCTCAGGGCCAATTTTGGTTCCCCGCCCTACCTCTTGGTCCTAACAATGACAATAACAATAAACAATATTAACTATTCTAATTGATCACTCCCAATTTACAGCACCCTATAATTTACGAAGCACTTTCTCATCAGTATTGCATTAATTCTCCTACTAGTCCTATGGGGTGGAAATTAGCATCCTCATTTTGGGGCTCAGGAAACCAAGGCTCAGAGAGGTTATGTGAACTTCCACTGCCACAGTTGGTGGGGTGACAGAGTCAGGAAGCAAGCCTGGTCCAATCTGTGGAGTAAGCACTAGGGCCAGAAGTCAAGTTGCAGTTGGGTGTGGTGGGCACACAGTAGGAGGTAGGTGGGGGTACTGCAGGGGCATGGTAGGGTGCATGGCAGAGGGCATGGCAGATGCATGGCCAGTGGCTTGCTGTGTGGCAGGTTTGTTGTAAACTTTTTCTCTCTATCCTTCTGTAAGTAAAGAATTACAGAATGATTTATGCTTTCAAGCTTTCTTTTCAGTGTGTCAGGCTGATATCCCAAGGCTCTCAACCCCACAGCATGGAGCTTCCACTGGGCTGCAAGACTTTTGCTTCTTGAAACCTCTATTTCCTCATCTGAAAAAATGGGTCCAAGTTTCGGGCAGGTAGGCTATTGAGAGGTGCAAGTGAAATCATGGTGCCCTTGAGGAGCCAGGAAGGACTTCCCAAAGGCCGCTGCTTGTCACATTTTGTTTTCTCTTTTTAAAAAACACGATGGGTGCTGGGCAGAGGGAGGGGTGGGCTTCTAGGAGCCTGGGGGTGGTACTAAGAGGGGAGTGGGTGACAGCTCTTCCTTCCCCTGCCTGGGCTCGGCCTGGCCTTCCCCCACCCTCAGCCCAGAGCCTGTTTCCAGGCAACAGGATGGATGCAGGGATGGTTTGAAGGGGAGAGAGCTATAAATAGGGAAGGGAGAAAACAAAAATAAAGTTCCAGAGAAAGCTGTGGAGCTGCATTGCTGGGGGTGGGGGTAGGGAGACCGACGAACAGCGGGGACGGGGGACAGTCCCCAGCCCTCCATCAGTGGGAGAGGGCAGTTTTCAGGTTAGCCACCCAGCAATGGTCCTCAGGGTGCTGACATGGGTGGGAAGGCAGTCTCTGTGTGCACAGCAAAGCAGGATGGGGGTGAGGAGGAGAAATCACTTCCAGTCAGAGGACTAACAAAAGCTCAGAAGAGGGAGGGTTGCGGCAGGCAGAGGTGACGGCCGCTGTCTGGATGGAGGAGGAGGCAGGCAGACAAAGGGAAATCATGGGCCAGGTAAGGTGGGGTTGGATCCACGGATCTCAGGAGGCCTGGCTGGGCTCAGCCTGATGGCCACACTGCTGGGGACACACAGACACAGCGAGGTGGGCTTTTCCTCCATCTGCGACACTTGCCACCCCCCAGGTCTTCCCATACCACCCTCTCCTCCATCAGGTTTCAGCTCCAACCTCCCCTCCTCAGACAACTCAGACAACTGACCTGACAGCCTTCTTTTCTTTCTTTCTTCTTCTTTTTTTTTTTTAGACGGAGTCTCGCTCTGTCACCCAGGCTGGAGTGCAGTGGCTCCATCTCCGCTCACTGCAAACTCCGCCTCCCGAGTTCACGCCATTCTCCTGCCTCAGCCTCCCGAGTAGCTGGGACTACAGGCACCTGCCACCATGCCCGGCTAATTTTTTGTATTTTTAGTAGAGACGTTAGCCAGGATGGTCTCGATCTCCTGACCTCATGATCCGCCTGCCTGGGCCTCCCAAAGTGCTGGGATTACAGGCTTGAGCCACCGTGTCCGGCCCCTGGCCGCCTTATTTTAAGGTTGCTCACCACCTCCTCTTCGTCGCATTCTATCACACCGCCCTGCTTTGTTCTTCGTAAAACTCAAGATTATCTTGTTCCATGTATTTGTTGGCCATTTTGTGATCACTAGGTGAGCTCTAGTCGGAGCAGTGACCTGAGGGCTGTTCCCTGCAGCCCCTCCTCCATCTAAGGACAGAGCATCTGTGCCACGCACACTGTCGGACTAAACGAACCCGCAACATGGGTACATGCGTGAACACTGATACAGACACAGCACACTTCATGCCCATACCACCTTTGTAAGTGTGCACACATAGCTCAAACCCACCCACATACACAACCTCGCTACCTGGCTCCATGAAATTGCACAAGTGTCCGTAATCTCCACGCTGCTACCTCCACATTTTCCTGTGTCTTTTGTTTATCTCCCCTCAGAGGCAAAGCAGGCCCCTTTTGGAAATTCCAAAGGAGGTGGGCTTTGGAGACAGGCTTGGGGCCAAATGTGGCCTTTGCCACTTCCTAGCAATGGCGACAGTGGGCAGGTAACTGCCTCTCCAGCCTTCATTCCTTCATCCATAAATTGGGGGTAAAAAACAAGAAAGACTTGATGGCAGTTTCCAGTGAAATTACTGGAGATAAGCGTTTCATGGATATACTGGGCACTTGGGAAATGGCTTGGTCCCTGTCACCAGAGAGAGCCCATGAGATGTGTGGGCTCTCACATGCACACGGTCAAGGCTTCTGACACGAGGCTGGTATCTTGGCTGACACTTCTAGGCCTGTGCCTGGAATGCATTGACCCTGGCAGATGAGAACACTGGTCTCTGAGCAGAACCATTCTCAGTGGGACCAGGTGTGAGGGTTGGCACCCAGGAAGCAGGAATGAATCTCCCCACAAGCCAGATGGCAAACCTGGTTTTGGCGTTTAAAAATGGGGATCAGGTGCTGGTAGCTGGATTGGAGGCGGCAAACTCAGTCTTTAGGGGCCACGCAGTGCATGAAAATGAGTGAAGTGGATGGGTGTGATACAAAAGGAGGGGAAGGGACTGCGACCAACTGGAAGTGTGTCCAGCCTAAAGGCATTCAAATTTTACAATTTTAAAACCTTGTGCTCGCAAATCAAACATATCTACAGGCCAAATTCAGCCTGAGGGCCACGAGTTTGCAATCTCCACGGATTGTGGGTTGTGAGTAGCATCTTAATTCAACCAAAAGGGATCTGGAGCTCCTGGCATCCTCACGTAAGTGACTCAGAGAATCCAAGCCCACCGGTTTGTTCCCCCCCGCCACCCCACCCGCCTCACGTCTGCCAGCTGCCTCCTACTTCCGGAAATAAAGGTCCCTACCCTGCGGGCCAAGGTGACCTGAGCAGAACGGTCTCCCGCAGCGTTCAAGGCCTTCTTCCCGGCTTGGCACCACTTCTTGCCCCCAACAACTCAGGGAAAGAGGAGGCGCTAACACTCGGGGGCTAACTGAATAGAGCAACCTTCTTCCAGCTAGAGGCTGGAGGGCGAGGCAGGCTTGCGGCACGAATTGAGGTCGCACTGAGGTTTAGAATAGGGCAGGGTCTTGCGCAGGCGAGTTTGGGGGCCTCTGCGGCATAGCCACGCCAAGAGCCAGTCCGGGTGGGGGCGGGGCCTCTGCGGGACGGGGCGGGGCCTCGGTGCAAGCGCGGAGAGAGGGCCTCTGCGGCAAGAGGGCAGGGGCGGGGCCTCGCGCAGGGACTGCCTATGCCAATAAAGGCAGCGCATGGGGGGCGGTGCCTCTGCGCGGAGCCAGCAGTATCTCCGCCCCCATCTTTCTCACTCTGAGGCGGTGTTGGGGGCCCCCTAGTGCTGATCCTGATCCGCTCAAGGCTCCCGGGCGGCATCCCAGACCTCTGCGGGCCCTCGCCCACCTCAAACTTTCGGCCTCAAACATTCCGGCGCCTTCGTGGGGGTGGGAGGGTGGAGCACCGGAGGCCAGGGCTCTGCTGGCTGCAGGGGCAGTTGCCCATTTCCCTTCCCCTTAGACAAGTTTTTCTGCTTTGGGCAGGTGCGCGCGGGGCTTTGTGCGTGTCCACGTTCTGGAGTGGGAGAGGTCTTTCAGCGCTCGAATGGGATGCACGTGTTGGCCAGCGTGCATGCACGCTCGCGCGGCCAGAGTGCGCACACTCGGGTTCGCGCATATGGACCCACGGACAGGCACGCGGGTCCGCACGTGAGTGGGCATCGGCGCGCCTGCGCTACCTGTGCGGCCAGTTGTGAGCCCTTCCGCCCCAACGCTGCGGCGGCATGGGGCTTCCCTAGATCCTGCACTCCCAGCTGGCACTTTAGGGACTAGCAGGAGGCGCCCGAGGCCACCTTCCCGCCTCCCAGCCAACTGCGTGTCCCAGCCCCGGGGGCACCCTCCCCGACCTGCCTTCCGGGGGACAGAGTGGGAGATGGAGACGCGAAGCCAGAGGTGGCCAGTCTTGTACCTGGGCTGTGTGTGCCAGACCCCAAAGAGCACAGAGGGGTAGGCTGGGACCTGGAAGACTCGCCGCCACGTGTCGCCCCCACCCGGCGCCCAGCCCAGCCCTGCCGGTGCGGCTCTGGCTACAGACAGATTAGCTTTATTCATGGACTCTCGGGGGCGGCCGGGCCCACCCGCCCGGGACACGCTCACATGGGGGGGATGGGGACTCTCCATGCCACAATCACAACACACGACGCCCGCGTTCGGACCGGGCCGGCTGGGATGGGGGGCGGGGGACATGGCACAGCCTGGCTCCTGGTTTTGGTTAAAAAAAAAAAGGTTCTCGAGGTTAATGGGAGTCGGGCGGGGTGCTCTGGGGCTGCCCGGGGGCCGCTTGGAGAGCCACTGTCGGGGATCGGGGAGGAGCCGTCGCTCGGATCTTCGTTTAAAAACACATAGAACATGCTACATCCGCGCAGACGCTGGATGGGAGGAGGCAACACTGGAGGGGCGAGGCTCCCAGCCGCGACCGCAACCCTGGCCCTGTCCATGCCCCGGGGTTGGACGCGGGCGGGTAGGACAGACAGATGGACAGACACTAACACAGGCTCCGAGGGGGTTGCCTCAGAGCGGAAGGAAGATCTCGTGATTGGGGAGAAGGAGTCTAAGGACAGCCCTGGCTCTGGGGGGCGGGGCAGGGACAGGGACAGAATTGTGCTGCTGGTGGGGGCTCTCCTGGGCCCCTACGCCTCTGGCTCATACTCCTGATATTCCTCCTGCATCACCGGGATGGGGGTGGAGTAGAGAAGAGCAAAAAGGAGGAGGAGTTTGAGACCAAGTGGCCAAGCCCCGGCCCAAGAACCCTCTCCCTGAAGGAGGAATAGCACATTCCCCTTTTCCTGGGCAGGGGAGGAGCCTGGAAGTTGGGGACAACAGAGAATTCTTGGGCAGGTGTGCCTGGGGCCCAGCGCTAGACCCTATCTGCCCTCTCCTCCCTGCTCCCACCTCCTGGGGCCTGGGTTCTAGAAGAGGGATGTCAAGCTCCCTGGCCCAACCATCTCATGCCAGGGATGTCCCACCCCAGCTAGGGACGGCAGCAATCATCCTGGATTCCCAAAGTCCCGCCCAGCCCTGCTGCCCCCTCACCTGGGGTGGGTCCTCATAACTCTCCCCTTCTGGCTCCATCAGGGGCTCAATCAGTGGTTCTTCAGCAGCTTCCTGGGCCACTTCCTCTGGCTGTGGGCAGAAAAGGTCAGGACTCGTGAGGACAGCCAGGATGCCCCCCAAATTCCCACAGTGGTAAGCTTTGGGTGGGTTGGAGTGGGGAAGGCTAGGGTGGGTTGGCAGAGCAAGGATAATTTCTAATTCAGTTATTTATTTGGAGTGCCTTGGAAGTGGGATGGAGGTGAAGGGGGAAATTCCCCCGAATCACAGTTGAAGTGGCAGCATGGAGTGGGAGCTGGCTCTCCACGCCGCTCCCCCAATGCCTGGCAGCCTCCACACTTCCACCATTTGGATACTCAGTCACCAGCTTATGCCTCATCCTTTGTGTCAGGCTCTGTGCTGGGCATCGGGACCCCAGAGATAACCCTCAGGCTCCCCTGGGCTGAAGGGAGCTGGAGGCTCAGGGACAGGGCTGGGCAGGGGCTCTGAGCCATTCCCCCGCCACCTTCCACTCATCCCTCCCCCGGGCCCTGTGTGGCCTCGTTTCTTCAGCTGTTGCTATTTTAAGATAAGCTGGAAGCCACAGCTCGTGGTGTTGCTTGGATGTGTGAGCTAAGACTCTCCCCCCCACCCGCTGCGTCTGCTGCCCAGACAGGCGCAGACCAGCGGGCATGCATGTGGGCGGGCTGCCAGACACATGGCCAGCCACCTGCAGGTGACCACATGTATGTGAACAAACATGGGACTGAGCTGGCTGCACACACAAGCACACGCGATAGCTTAGGATCCATGCACAGCCTGTGCAGTGCCTCATGTGGGGCTGGCACACGCCTGGGATCCCGGAGCATTGGTGCTGGGGAAAGCCTGCCCTGACCACGTCTGCACCCTGGGTGTCCCAGCTCCATCCAGGCAGCGTCAGCTCCTTCACATTACCTGTCTAAGTGGGCCCTGTGGGCACATGAGTTTCCAGCTCCTGACCTGGCTCATTTCCCCACTGCACAGATGCGTATGCCAAGGCCCAGGAGGTGGGGAAATGTTAGTTTGCCCCCAAGTCACCCAGCTATGACCAGAACCCAGGGATGGAATGTAGTGCTAAAAATGCCAGCTTGATAGCTGGGCACTGTGGTGCGTGCCTCTAGTCCCAGCTACTTGGGAGGCTGAGGCAGGAGAATCGCTTGAACCCGGGAGGCGGAGTTTGCAGTGAGCCAAGATCACGCCACTGCACTCCAGCCTAGGTAACAGAGTGAGACTCCATCTCAACAAAACAAAACAAAACAAAACAAAACAAAACAAGCCAGCTTGAGCACATTGTTTGGAAACAACCCAAATGTCCAACATCAGTAGAATGGATGTGTGCCTTGTGACCTAACGACACAATGGAATACTACATAACAAGAATGAAGAACAACAATGCATACAAGAGCAGGGCTGAGTCTCACAAGCTTCCTGATGAATGGAGGAAGCCAGATACAGAACAGAAGAGCATGGCCTTCATGATGACTTTTTTTTTTTTTTTTTTTTTTTTGAGACAGTCTCACTCTGTGGCCCAGGCTGGTGCGCAGTGGTGTGATCTCGGCTCACCGCAACCTCAGCCTCCTGGGTTCCAGCGATTCTCCTGCCTCAGCTTCCCAAGTAGCTGGGATTACAGGCATGTGCCACTGCATCTGGCTAATTTTTGTATTTTTAGTAGAGATGGGGTTTCGCCATGTTGGTCAGGCTGTTCTCAAACTCCTGACCTCAGGTGATCTGCCCACCTCGGCCTCATGCCTGGGATTACAGGCATGAGCCACTGTGCCCAGCCTCATGATAACATTTACAAGAAGTCAAAAAACACCCAACTAGTGTTGTGCTGATAGAAGCCAGGAAGCAAGGCCAGGCATAGTGGCTCACGCCCGTTACCACTCCCAGCATTTTGGGAGGTCAAGGTGGGCAGATCACTTGAGGTCAGGAGTTTGAGACTAGCCTGGCCAACATGGTGAAACCCATCTCTACTAAATATACAAAAATTAGCTGGGCATGGTGGTGCACGCCTGTAGTCTCAGTTACTCAGGAGGCTGAGGCAAGAGCATTGCTTGAACCCAGGAGGTGAAGGTTTCAGTGAGCTGAGATTGTGGCACTGCACTCCAGCCTGGGCAACAGGGCGAGACTCCGTCTAAAAAAAAAGTCAGAAAGCAGTTCCCCTTGGAGGGCGATAGGCAGGGCCAGGACTGAGGGGAGGTGGGTGAGGCTCCTGGAGTGTAGATGTTAGGGAGGCCTGGCCTCCGTCTCCTGGCCATGCAAGTGAGACTCCATGAGTGAGTGCCCCAGACACCTCTTTTGTCTCCCCCTAGTCCTGGCCCTGGGGATAGGAACTGGAAGGGGTCACAAGGTGGGGTCCTGGGGGGTAGTGTTCTGTCTCGAGCTGGCTACTGGTTACAAGGGGAGTTCCCTTTGTGAACATTTCATGGAGCTGCCAGTTTTCCACATGTACATTGTACTTCAATAAAAAGTTCACTTAAAAAAATACCCATAGCCTGTAATCCCAGATACTTGGAGGGCTGAGGCAGGAGGATTGCTTGAGCCCAGGAGTTCCAGATCAGCCTGGGCAACATAGCAGGACCCCATCTCAGAAAACAAACAAACAACCCCAGCCTGGCCACCTGGTAGCTACCTGGCATCAGGCAAGTCATTTTGCTTCTAATCTCAGCAGCCTTGCATGGGAAACGAGGCTGGTGAGGATTCCGTGATGATGGATGGAAAGCATGCTCGAAGCAGAGAGTCTCAGAAATGCAGACCATGGGCCTGCATGAGTCCCCCATGCCGCTGGTGGCCCAAGGGGCTGTTGTCTGTGTTATAACTCTATGATCTTGGGCTCCCTTGGGAGGGTAGCCTTGAGGCGTCAACAAGCACCAGTAGGAGAAAGGTGACCAGAGAGAAATGGTTCTGTGCAAACACCCATCACAGCCTGGGGCTGACAGGCTGAACCTGCCTCTCTTTTGCACCCCAGCTCGCAGCACTAGGACTGGCCCTGTGCCATCACCAAGCGACCCCAGTGACATGGCCTGAGCTTATCCTCCTGACCACCTTATAAGGGAGGCAGGCAGGAAATGGGGTCTTGGGCAAGTGACTTCACTTCTCTAAACCTCAGTCTCTTCATCTGTAAAACGGGCTGGTTATGGTGCCACATTGGGAAGAGTCAATGAGTTAGTTCATCTAGAGTCAAACATCTAGGACAGTGCCTGCTCATGAAAGAGATCAATGAATGGAAGTGATTATTGGTAACATGATTATAAGAAATGGGAAGTCATGGCCGGGTGCAGTGGCTCATGCCTGTAATCCCAGCACTCTGGGAGGCCGAGGCAGGTGGATCACCTGAGGTCAGGAGTTCGAGACCAGCCTGGCCAACATGGTGAAACCCCGTCTCTACTAAAAATACAAAAAATTAGCCGGGTGTGGTAGCGGGTGCCTGTAATTCCAGCAACTTGGGAGGCTGAGGCAGGAGAATTGCTAGAATCCAGGAGGCAGAGGTTGCAGTGAGCCAAGATCGTGCCATTGCACTCCAGCCTGGGCAACAAGAGCAAAACTCCGTCTCAAAAAAAAAAAAAAACAAAAAAAAACAAATGGGAAGTCATACAGATAGTAAAATGCAGAGACAGGGCTTGAACTAGAACTTCTGAGTCAAGATCCTGACTTCCAACAGTGGAAGGAACCAACTGTGCAAAATGACAGGAGTGGAGGGCAGCGTGGGGTCTCCCACAGCCTGGTGGATGCACTCATGCTGAACGTACACTGATCACCCAAACCAGACGCTGCAGAAGGAGCCCCCATCCCCATGGAGGCAGGGTCTGCACGCGTCCATGGACAGACACAGAGCATTCACAGCGAATGCCTGCACACACATGTCATGGGGGATCCACTTCCAGGCACGCCTGTGGTCACAGGATCCCCTGCAGGCAGACCCAGACTGCTTGAGTGATCATGTGGCCACAATCTCTTGCAGGGCATTCACTGTATGCAAACCCAGCTCTTTATATCCATGGTTCTCATAGTATGCTCCCTGGAACTGCGGCATCAACCTCACCCGGGTACTTGTTAGAAATGCAAATCCTCCAGCCCCACCTCAGACCTACTGAATCAGAAATTCTAACGATGGGGCCAAAAATCTGTATTTTAACCTGGCCTCTTGGTGATTGATACACACTCAAGCTTTGAGAATATCTATATTATCTCCAATCTGCATGAGATTCCTATTGTGTTCACTCGCATTTTACAAGTGAACTATCAAGTTCAGAGACATGGTGGGAACTGCCCAGGGTCACACAGCCAGGAAGTAGTGGAGTTAGGATTCAAACCCAGCTGAGGCTGGGGGTAGGTGGGTTCAGAGCTCACAACTCTTAACCCCCTCTTATCAGGGGGTCCTAGTAGGGGGATCTGTCTCCATGCACACATGAGTGGTTCCCAGGGCTCCCCTGGGGAAACACAACTGCACAGATCACACCCACCCCAGCACAGCTCCCACCTGCTCCAACCTGCCTCAGGGCCTTGGTACTTGCTGTTCCTACAGCCTGAAATTCGCTTCCCACACATCTCAAGGCTGCCTCTCTCATCCCTTGGGTGTCAGCTCAAATGGTTCTTCCTCAGAGAAGTCTTCCCAGCCAAAATAGCCCTCTCACCCCTTGCCTGTCTGTCCCATCGCCCTCTCTGTCTTTTCTCTGTAGCACTTATCCCCGCGGAAAGCATCCTGCCTGCTGGCTTGCGTTTTACTATCTTCTCCCACTACAATGTCAGCTGCAGGAACGTAGGAACCTATTCACTGCGGCAGCCTCTACAACAATTCCTCTCTGGCATGGATATTTGTTGAATGAAAAGAAATGAATGAACAATCATTGACACATGCAGACGTGGCCAGAAGTCATCTGGGTCACGCTGGCAAGCAGGATACACGCAGACAGCCAGGTCTGGGTCCCCATCACCGGGAGCGTCACACCCATGCACGCCTTTATTCAGATGCATTCTGAGCTGAGTCTAGCACGGGCCTGCAGGATGGGAGGCAAAGTGGCTTGTGTTCCAAGCTGGTGGCAGGATTAGGGGGGCGGGGATGGTGACAGGTTTATTTGTGTGCCTGGTGTGTGTGTGTGTGTGTGTGTGTGTGTTTGCCTGCATGTGCGGGTCAGAAGGATCGCTTACCTTCAGATCAGTAGGGAATTCCTCCCTCTTCACCAGTCCTGTGGCTGCTGCGATGTTCCCTGCCCCAGAGAACACAGCTCCTCCCAGATGTGAGGCCTGTTCCTTGGTTTTTTCAGCCACTGGAGCAGGGAGGGGGTTGAGGAAGGGGTTTGGGAGCCAGGGGGAAACACCGATGCCCTGCCTTGTAGTATCCCAGGGCCTGCCCTCCCCACGGAGCATTCCCGCAGAAGCCTTGGGAGTCTCCCCCGCCCCCGCCCTCTGGTTCCCGGCCAGATCATCCGCCTAAGTGAGAGAAGGGCTGGTGCCAGGGCTGGGCTAGTACCTGAAGCCACACCTTGTACCACACCTTCTCGGGTCTTGCTTCCTGCAGGGAGAAAAAGCGGCACATTTAAGGACTCTGCGCTGAGGGAACAGAAACTCCAGCACAGCATGGTGATTACAGAGTGGGCATCCTGGCCCCGTCACTGCCTCCTTGGGTCCCCACATCCTACAACCTGCACCCCCATGTTAACCCCCGTCTTATCACTGCACTGGGCCCCACACCTCTGTCTGCAAGGGTTGCAGTTCTCTCCCACCTGATGCGATACCCCACCCCTCTAGTGGATGTTGGCTGAGGGCCAGTGCTGTGTCAAGTCCTCTGCCTGCCCCGCTGCACTTCACTTTTCCCCAGCCCTGGGAGGCGGGTGCTGTTATTGTCCCCGTTTCACGGATGGAAGCTCAGTGTGGGTTCCACCACTAGGAAGTGGCTGAACTGACATTCAAGTTCAGGCCTTTCTGACCCTAAAACTTTAGCTACCAACCACTCTCACAGCACGTAGCCCAGGATAGGAGGCAGGTGGGGGTGGGAGTAGGGGTGGAGCTGGGAGGCCACAAAGCCATGTATTTTGAAAGGTTCCCCTCGTGCCCCATGCACCACTGCCCATAGCCCACTGCCCCACTCCATTTCCTCTAAAGATTCTCTTCTCCTAGCGAGGGTGCAAACCCCTTCTTCTGGCCAAAGTAGGGGGTGTCAGGCTCAGGGTGGGTCTAAAGGTGATGTGCAGATTGTAACTGGCACCCGTGGCATTGGCTGGGCCTTCCTCGGAGGGTAGCAACTTGATAACTTCAAAATGTCTGGGGGCCGCTGGGAAGGCCAGAGGGCCTGATCTGGGCTGGAGGATGAGAGACGGAAACGGGGTGGGGAGTATCCCGTCTGACAATTTGGCAACACAGACAACAGTGATGGAGCCAGAACTGGGTGTCTAGGCAGACTGAGCCCGGCGGGGGGGTGGGGGAAGAGGCTGGTGTGGGAAGACAGGGTTCTCAGGGCGAAGGCCAACCAGCACCCAGAGACAGGAGGGGCAGGCTGCATGCTCCCCTTTCACTCCTCCCACAAAACATCAGCTTCCACCTACTCTGTGCCAGGCCCTGGGCCAATCGCTCACTGTCTGAAGTGGGTAAGAGAAGAACAGATTCAGTTCCTGGACCTCAAGTAGTGGGGAGAGGACTTCCAGCCTCCAAGGACTGACTATGTGAGGAGGGAAGGGACACTGCCTAGGCCTTGAGAAATGGGGAACAGATGGACATCAGAAAGGAGACTGCAGAGGGTATCCCAGGCCCAGGGACCCACACAGACAAGGCAGAGCAATGTGCTTTCAGGACAGTCCATGTGCCAGGAGCCATGGGTGTGGTGGGAAATGTAGACTGAGGCAGGACCATGAAGGGCACTGAATGCCAGGGTACAGGGAGCCGAGGCTTTAACTTGTAGGAACTGGGGTCCATCAGGGGCTCCCAGGCAGAGGCAGGAGCAGGAAGTGCCAATCTAAGGGGAAGAGCAGCATGGCTTGGAGGGGCCAAGTCTATTATCAGAGAGAGAGTGTCAGAGAGCCAGAGGCCAGCAGGAATGAAAGACCCTGGGGAGGAGGCAGGAGGGAGGCCAGAGCTGGGATCAAGCAGCCATGCACTTTAGCCTTCTCCCGGTCTCCATTGCCACCACCCTCGCCCCTGCCACCCTCATCCTGTGGCCTCATCAGGCCTCCCTGCAGTTTTTCTGTCCCCAGAGGCCCAAGTGACCGTTCTAAACTAATCACATCATGGCAGTCCCTTGCTTACAGTCTCTCGTGGCCATGATAACAACGTTTTGCCCTGGCCTGCAAAGGGCCCTCGTGAACTGTCTCCTGCCCATCGCTCTGACCTCACCTCCTACCACTACTTCCTGCCCTGCCCCCAGCTCACCCCAGGGCCTTTGCACCTGGCTTTTCTGCAGCCCTGCCCCCCTCTTATTACTCAGGGATGAGGCATTCTCTTCAGGGAGCCACTGGATGTCAACTCGCACTGCTGAAATGCTCTGTATCACCATCAGGAGATCAGGAACCATTCTTTCCTGTTCACTGTGAAACCCCAGCATCTGCAGGATGCCTGGCACATAGTAAGTGGACACAAAATATTTTTCAAATGGCCACAATCCAAATATGCCACGACCCTGGGCAAGTTATCCAACCCTGGCCTTTCTTCTGATACCAGCCAGTGGTTGCAAGGAAAGTGGACGGGGAAGAGAGCTGGCAAAGGTAAAACCACAAGAGTTGTGATGCAGGTGGACCTGGAACGCAACTCAACTCGGCCTTGGAGGTGCTGGAGGGAGGCGCCACAAGGGGAGGGGTGGGGCTTCAGAATCTATAAAGCTCCGTTCAAACCCCAGCTTCAGCATTTACCAGCTGCTGACCTTGGGCAAGGTACTTAGATCTCTGGGAAGCCCAGTTTCCCTTACCTGTAGAATGGGCCGAAGCATTACATGAGGAAATGGATGTTATGACATTTTACCCAGTACTTGGCATACAGAAAGTGTTCAACACCAGATAACTATTAATAATGGTAAAAAAGATAAGAAAAAGGAGGCTGTCTGCTTTCATCACTGCACTGGTCCCTGGCCTTTCAGCTGGAGCCCCCCACCTCATCAGCCCGCCCCGTGTCCCCATTTCCGGATACAGACCCAGGCTTCTATGGGCTGGCTATGTCCCCTATGACCCCTGCTGACCTCGCCCCATCTGCTGACTCATATTCTCCTGCCCAGAACCCCCCTCCCCGGGACCCGGCCCCAGCTCCACACTGTCGGGGGACCCCCAGCCCTGCAGCCCCAGAAACCCCGCCCCTTACCCACCGACGTAGAGGACGCCCTCCTTGGTCTTCTCCGCCGCCTCGGTGACCCCCTGCTTGGTTTTCTCCGCGGCTGCCACAACGCCCTCCTTGGCCATGGACAGGCCCTTCATGAACACGTCCATCCTGGCGGCCTGGGGAGGGCGATACACGGGCACCGGTGCACTGGCCCCGCACTCTCACCCCAGCCCCTCCCGCGGGACGCAGATGCCCCCCTACTCCCGAGACCGCGGCGCCCTTCTGGACCCTGAGCCCCCTCCCGCTTTCCCCCCATCCCACCCCACTCCCCAGTGCGAAGCCTCAGGGCCGCGGAGAGTCCTAGCGTCCTTGAAACCTGGGGACGCGGGAGGGGCCACTGCCTCGGTTATCCGGGCCCTGCAAACTGCAGCCCCGTCGAACCGGAGTGCTGGGTTCGGCGCGAATATCCAGGACCCGCCTGTACACGCACGGCACAGTCACACGGTCATGCACACAAACATACACCACGGACAAGCTCACGTGCACACACAGGACACGCAGACGCTCCAACGCGCACGAATACCCCGACCCACATGGGCGCGGACACACGTCCCCACAGCCGCCCGGGCAGCTGCAAACACCGGAGCATACTCACATACTCCGGGGTGCACACTGACGCGCATCCCCCGGGTCTCCCTCCATTTTCCATCCCCTTCCCCAGCTCCCTCCTGTCGCCCCAGTCCCCTCTCCATCCTCATCCCGTTCCCCATCCCCGGCGCGCGGCCGCCTCACCTGGATGCGGGGCCGGGGCTGGGGATGGAGCGGCGGCTGCGGCGGGCGGACGCGGGGGCTCCGCTAGGCCAGGCCGGGGTGGACCAGGGGCCGGAGGGGGGATAGGGCCGGGATCAGGCGCTCGGGTCGCGGGTCCTGAGCAGGAGCGCAGCAGTGCCCGGGTCTCGGGTGCGTAGCCAGCCACCGCTCGTTCCTCGCGCCCTGCGAGCTCGCGCGCTCCGGCTCCGGCTCCGGCTCCGGCGCTGCGGCAGCTCTGAGCTCAGCGCCCCCGCTGGCGGCCGCGCCGCCCCTTCGGCCTGACTGACAGGGGGCGGGGAGGGTGACAGCGCGTAGCCGATGAGCCTCCCGGGGCGGGCCCGGGACGCGCCCCTGGGGGCCCCGGCCGTAAGACTCGCGTAGTCTGTTGGGAGTTGAGGGAGGGGGACAACGCGGCGTGTGAAGAGTGGGGAAGAAATCACGCGACTGGATTTGGAGTTCTGCTGGGCTCGAATCTCAGCTGTGCTTTTTATTAACCGTGGGACCTTGAGCTACTCGGCTCTCCTTTCTGAATGACAGTTTCCTCCTCTGTAAAACAGGAATGGTTAATTCAACGAATGTTTACTGAGCGCTTAGTCCAGTGGTGCAGGTTTAAGGCTGGAGGCAGCGGAAAAGGAAAACAAGGTTCCTGGTCTCGGGAAGCTTACCATGGGGGTGTCTGTACGCGTGTGTGTTCGTGCGCTCAGTGGTGGAAGACAGGACAGAAAATAAACGGATCAACATCCAAAGCAACAAGGTCATTACAGCTTGTAAGTTGTGAAGGTAACGGTGATGTAACACGGGGACTAGAGGAGGGGTGCTTGAGACAGGGTGCTCAGGGAAGGCCTCTACCAGCAGGTGAATTGTAGCAGAGACTCCAGAGAGGCACCATGACACCACGATGGGTGAGGACAAGATCCATAGAGAGTGCAAGTGCAAAGGCTCCAAGGCAGGACTGTGCTGACAAAAGACAGCGCAGCTGGAGAGCCAGGATGGAGGGAGGTGGAGAACAAAACCACTTTTTTGTGTGCTTACGGTGGGGACTGTCAAAATGATCACAGAATGCCAGGCACACAGTAGGCCCTCAGTTGGTTCTATGATAGAATTATGCCCAAGAAGCTGTAGTATCCCAGAGGAAAGGGACTCTGACAACTTAGGGGAGTCAGGAAAGGACATAAAAAAGAGGTGACAACTGAACTGTGGCCTGACAGGAAGGGGACTATTTCATCGAGCAGGCTAGGGAGAAAGAGAATTTTAGGCTGTGGGTACAGCATGGGCAAAGGCACTGTGGCCAGAAATGCAGGGTGTGTAAGTGACAGGTAATTAGGCGAGGGGGCCACCAGCAGCCAGACTGCAAAAAAAAAAAAAAAGGAAAAAACCCAACCAACCAAACAAAAAACATTCACAGGCCGCTGGTAGAACTGCAAATTGGCGCAGACATTTTGGAAGGCAATCTGGCAATGTTTACCAAGCATAAATGCATGCGCCTTTGGAGCCAACAGCTCCCCTTCCAGGAATTGATCCCGTGCGACTCTAGCCATACATGCACACAAAGATACCTGTGCAAGGATGTTCACTGTAGCATGTTTTTTTGTAGCAAAAAACTGAAAATGATCTAAATGATCATCTGTACAGGACTGGCTAGCTAACTGTGGCACATCCACCCAGTGCAATGCCACACTATGGTTGGCAAAGATGAGCTAGACCCATGTGTGCTGACATGGGAGTGTGCCAAGATGTGGTGGTAAGTGTGAGAAGCAAGGTGCCAAACTGGAATGTGTGGAATGAGCCAATTTTGATACAAAGGGAATTATATTTTATGTATAAGTACTTATAATTTTCTATGTGTCAAATATATATTATATACTAACATATACATACTTATCACATACTATATACATTATACACAGACACCTTATATACAAACATACACATATTTATGGCTAGATATACAATTCTTTTTTCTTTCTTGTTTTTTTGAGATGGAGTCTCCCTCTGTCACCCAGGCTGGAGTGCAGTGGTGCAATCTTGGGTCACTGCAACCTCCACCTCCAGGGTTCAAGCAATTCTCCTGCCTCAGCCTCCCAAGTAGCTGGGATTACAGGCATGTGCCACCACGCCCAGCTAATTTTTGTATTTTTAGTAGAGACAGGTTTTCACCATGTTGGCCAGGCTGGTCTCGAACTCCTGACCACAAGTGATCGGCCCACCTAGGCCTCCCAAAGTGCTGGGATTATAGGCATGAGCCACCTCACCTGGCCACACCTCTGTAATAATTTCTGAGAAAACTGTTAAAGGGAGTTGCACCTAGGAAACGGGACTGAGAGGGTTCAGGGAAGGAAGTTTCACATTCCATTGCCTTCCTTACTGGTGCTGTTTGATTATTTTCCCTTGGATAGTATTTTACTTGTGTTATTTTAAGAACTAGCATGGAGGGTACCTGCAGTTATTTTTGGTCTCTCAGCATTAAAATTGCCCCCTTCCCATGTTTAGAGGGGTCCCCCACCTTCTGAGGCAGAACCCACCTTCCCCTCTGAGAGATGACTATGCCAGATAATTGCTTTCTCAGTCTTCCTTGCAGCCAGGACATGTGACTGACAGGTGCAGCTCCAGACTTGGGACCTGAAGCTAGTCCCAGGAAGCAGCAGGGAAGCAGAGGGCGGGGTGGGGGAGGGGTGTGTTCTGGTGTGGAAAAGTGGTGGTGGCAGCTCCTGCCAAGGACCATTGGCAGCAGTGACACTCACTGTGGGAGTGTCCAACACCAACAGGACAAGCTGCACTGTCCATGCCCAGCCATGGCATCGGGATTCTTCATAGGTCTGCCTGGTAGTGGGATTTGGGGCATCATTTCAGGCTGTGTGGTCTCCAGCGTGGATTTTCTAGCTATCCTGGAGATTATTTGAGCTGTCCAGTGTTTTTTTTGTTTGTTTGTTTGTTTGTTTGTTTGTTTTAAGAGATAAGGTTTCACTGTATCACCCAGGCTGGAGTGCAGTGGCACAGTCAATCATAGCTTACTGCAGCCTCGAACTCCTGGTCTCAAGTGATTCTCTCATCTCAGCCCTTTCAGTAGATGAGACTACAGGTGCGTGCCACCATGCCAGGCTAATTTAAAAAATATTTATTATTTGTTTGTGATTTACTTATTTATTTTTCGTAGAGACAGGGTATTTGTTTGTGATTTACTTATTTATTTTTTGTTGAGACAGGGTCTCACTAGGTGGCCCAGGCTGGTCTCGAACTCCTGGCCTCAAATGATCCTCCCACCTCAGCCTACCAAAGTGCTGGGATTACAGGTATGAGCTATTGTACCTGGCCCATGAGCTGCCCAGTATTTAATAAACTCCTTATTTGCTTAAATCACCCAGAAGTGATTTCTGTGGCTTGGGATTAAGAACTCCTGATGCCAGAGTACAAGATAAAGAAAGATGAAGGAGGATGGAGGAGCGGGGAGAAGGAGGAAGAGAGAAAGAAGATGAAATGAAGCGTGTCTGAACTTCAGATCACAGGAAACAAGAAGTCACTGAAGGATTTTAAGCACAAGAGACCTAATGAGATTTGCATTTTATGGGGCCAAACGGAGATGGGTTGGAGGAGGATAAGGCTGGCTGTAGAAAGATCAGTAGGAGGCTGGGGCAGACTCCAGAGGAGGGACAAGGACGCCTGAACTACAGAAGCCCGGGTGACGCTGGAGCAGGGCTGGAAGGAGAGACGTGAACATCACTTGGGAGTAACTTATTAGGTGTTATGGGAGACGGAGAAGGACAAGTTGAGGAAGATTCCCAGGTTTCTGGTTTGGACAATGGGGTGAGTGATGTTGCTGCAAAATGAAATAGGCATTGAGGGGGTGGAGCAGCTTGGTGGGGGGATGATGATGAGCTTGTCTGGGGGAATGACAGACAAGCTGGAGGAGGTGTCCAGCAGACACTAGGGTATCTGAGCCCAGAGCTCAGGAAAGCACTCCAGGCTGGCTTCAGATGCAGATTTGAGCCACGGTGTACTCAGAATTCTTTAACAAATGGCACAAATGGCTCTCCAAGGTTGGGGCGGGAAAAGGGTAGGCAGGAAGGAACACCTAGATTTGTGGTTTGCCAATGTCCTTGGGGTAAAATACTCCCACCACAGTTGATTCCAAGCTGTCAGTGTGATGTCATTGAACAGAAAATTGGTTCAGTTATCTAGAATTTTCATGAGACAGATAACGTAGATAAAAATAACCTTAAGAGCACAGATAATAGTAAAATAACTAGGAAGTTATGTGTTTTGAGTATTATCTATGTTTTTTAAACATAATGTAACTATAACTTTATATAATTTAATTTTTAACAATGTAATGGCTTTAACAACTGGCTCACACAATTCCTGAAGTTTTTTTTTTTTTCTTTTTTTTTTTTTCGAGACAGAGTCTTGCTGTGATGCCCAGGCTAGAGTGCAGTGGCGTGATGTCGGCTCACTGCAACCTCTGCCTCCTGGGTTCAAAGGATTCTCCTGCCTCAGCCTCCTGAGTAGCTGGGATTACAGGCACCCGCCACCACACCTGGCTAATTTTTGTATTTTTAGTAGAGACAGGGTTTCACCATGTTGGCCAGGCTGGTCTCGATCTCCTGACCTCATGATCCGCCCACCTCAGCCTCCCAAAGTGCTGGGATTACAGGCATGAGCCACCACGCCCAGCCAGATTCCTGAAGTTTTAACAATTGTTCTTGTGAGCCAAGTGAGATCAGTGCCCCACTGGGTTTGGAGTCATTAGCATAGAGGTGGTGGCTGGAGCCATAGGGCTGAGTGTGATCGTCCGGGGGTGCACGGAGAGTGAAAAGAAGAGAGTGCCCGGAACAGACTCCTGAGGTGCTGCAAACTTCGGGGTGGCCAGAAGCAGAGGAACCTGGAGAAAGACTGAGAAGGCTCTGGCAGTGAGAAAGAAGGACAAGCTGAAGAGAGTGCACAAAGACCTTGGGGATAGAGGTCGACGAGATAAATGCTAGAGGGAGGCCGAAGGAGACCAGCAGTGGAGAGTCTGCGATGGATGGGCAGCAAGTGGGTGACTGGGGAGCTGAATAGCAGTGAGCGCAAAGAGGGAAGGGGCAGCAGGGGACAGCCTCCAGGAGAAAGTGACATTCGAGCTGGGTTTTGAAAGATGAGAAGGACCTTACAAGTGGTGGTGAGCATTCCCAGCAAGGGATCTAGCAGGTGGGACAGTCCAGAGTGTCGAGGTAACAGAAAATAGGTTAAATTCTGAGTCAGGCAGGAAGTTCGTTTGGCTGCTAGCACAGAAGCTTAGGCAAAGCAGGCATTTATTCTTTCACTTAAACAAGTCCAGTGGTGGGCAGTCCACAGGTGGTGTGATGACTTCACAGTCATCAGGAACCCAGACTCCTACCTTTCTGATGCACCATTCTTAGTACATGCATTTCATCCTCATGGCCCAAGATGGCTGCTGCAGCTCCTGCCATCATGTTGATGCAGACAGCAGGAAGAGGGGAGGTAGGGTAAAAAGAATATCTGCCAGTTGTCTGTCTTTTTCTTTCTTTCTTTCCTTTTTTTTTGAGACGGAGTCTAGCTCTGTTGCCCAGGCCTGAGTACAATGGTGTAATCTCGGCTCACTGCAACCTCTGCCTCCCGGGTTCAAGCTATTCTCTTGCCTCAGCCTCCTGAGTAGCTGGAACCACAGGCACATGCCACCATGCCCGGATAATTTTTGTATTTTTAGTAGAGACGGGGTTTCACCTTGTTGGCTAGGCTGGTCTCGAACTCCTGACCTCAGGTGATCTGCCCGCCTCAGCCTCCCAAAGTGCTAGGATTACAGGCATGAGCCACCGTTCCCAGCTAGATTCACCAATTATTAGCATTTGCTACATTTTTCTCTCTTGCTCCGTATGTGCTTCCCTCAGAAGGGGGCACGGATACTGGGTCACCACTCTCTAGCAGGATGGATCCTTTCCCCCGCCACATACCCCTACCACCCTTTAGAGCATGGGGTGGCAAAGCTCGGGCTCGTGGGCCTCCAGTGGCCAGTGGCCACCTGCGAGCCTCAGGAACTCTCACTGTTTCTGTTCTCTCTTTCCCCAGGAAATGGGCCTTTCCATTCTTTTCTTCCTCTCCCCTTCCTAGGAATGTACTAAGGACGATGACTCTGGAAGCTTCTGGGAAGGGAACATGGCAAAAGGTGGGAAAGGGTTTTAGAGAAGATCCTCGTTGGAGCAGCTGGAGCAGAGAGTTCTCTTAAGTGGATCCTGGGGATTCCAGCCCCGCCTGGGTTCTGCAAAAATCCAGATGTGCCTTTGTAACTCTGTGTGTGGCGCCTGGCAGATTAAACATTTAGCAGCATTCCTGCTGTCCAGAGGCCTCAGAGTCCTGCAGGGCAGGCAGGACGGGAAGCTGAGAACAGGGAGGGGAACCGGGGACATTTACTGAACATCTGCAATGTGCCAAGTACTCCATCCATTACGTCACGACGTCCTCACGGCAATCCTTCAAAGCAGGCATTTTCATTCCCATTTTACAGATAAGGGAATTGATACCCAGAGAGGGAAAGTCACTGGCCTTTGTTCTTTTCAATCAGTTTTCCCTGAGTGCCTACTGGGTGCCGATATCATTCCAGGTACAGGAGATGCAGCAGGAAATCAGACCAATGAAGCCCTTGCCCCTCTGGAACTCAGCATTCGAGTGGGATGGGGCAGACAATTCACAACTAGAAACCACAAAAGACGCTTCCACTGTGCCGCTCTTGTAAAAGTCGTCAGCGACACTCACTTTGCTAAATCTATTGACCAATCCTCCCTGCTCCCTCTGACTTCTGAGTACTTCCCATAAGCCAGACGCTGTTGTAGGCCCTGGGGACACAGCTGTGAACAAGAGAGGCCTTGGGGGCTGGGCGTGGTGGCTCACCCCTGTAAGCCCAGCACTTTGGGAGGCCGAGGTGGGCGGATCACCTGCGGTCACGAGTTCGAGACCAGACTGGCCAACATGGTGAAACTCTGTCTCTATTAAAAACACAAAAATCATCCAGGTGTGGTGATGTGCTCCTGTAATTCCAGCTACTTGGGAGGCTGAGGCAGGAGAATCCTTTGAACCCAGGAGGCAGAGGTTACAGTGGGCTGAGATCGTGCCACTGTACTCCAGCCTGGACAACAGAGCAAGACTCCGTCTCAAAAATAAAAAGGCCTTGGGGACCTTGAGGAAGGCAAGTGATGAGTAAAATAAATCAGTAAAATGTATGGTGCGTCAGGAGGTGACAAATGCTGGGGGCAGTGAGGGAGGAGAAGCAGAGGAATTGCTGCACTGGGCTGAGGGGGGTTGGACAGTCACATACGATGGGCAGGGATCGCCTACCCTGAGAGAGGTTAGGAAGTGAGGGGACAGCCTCTGGAAGTCCTAAGGCAGGAGGTGGCTGGCACATCTGAAGATCTGCATGACTGAAGGCCACTGTGGCTGCAGCAGAGGGAGGGAGAGGAGGGCTGGAGGGAGGAGGGCCTTGTGGGCTCCTGCGCTGTGAGCAGAGGAGGGAGTGATCCAGATTTCATTTTAACGGCTGCTGTGTAGGGAGTAGGGAGGGGACTATTCTTGGGCAAGGGTGAAAGCTGAGGACCAGTTCAGAGGCCATCACCATCACACAGGCAGGATGACTGTCACTTGGGCTGGGATGGTGGCAATGGAGACCAAGAGAAGTGGTTGGGTCCTGGATGTTTTGAAGGGAGAACTGGTCATGGCATGTGCTAACAGGTGAGAAGGACAGAGCCCCAGGACCATTCCAGCGTTTTCGGCTGAGCAGTTGGAAGGGTGGAGAAGACGGTTGGAAGAACAAGTCTGGAGCGGGGCAGAGGAGGTGTCAGGAATTCATCTTTGGACATGGTAGCTCTGAGATGCATAGTAGATACCCAGATGGAGCTGTCGGGCGGGCAGTTGGATATGCTCTTCTGGATTTCTGGTGGCGGCTAAGCATGTCACTCTCTAAATGACATTTAATGCCCATTACTGGATAAGGGCATGAAACAGCAAGTACTGACAGAACAGACAAGAGGTCCCAGGGCTTAGTCCTAGGGCCTTCTGATGCAAAGAGAAGAAACCATCCATTTTGTTCACAGCTGTGCTCCCCAGAGCCTAAAATGGTGTCCGGCACAAAGTAATTGGTAGGTCATTATTTGTTGAATGAATAAACGAATAAGTAGTGTTAAGCGCTAAGAAGGAAATAGAACAGAGTGATGAGTTAGAGGGCATGGGGGAGAGTGTTCTTCTGTAGATAGGGTAGCAGTCAGGGAAGGCCTCTTTGAGAAGGTGACATTTGAGCCAAGCCCAGAAGGACAAGGAGAAGTTCTGTAAAAAGTTGCAGAGGAAACTGCAAGTGCAAAGGCCCTGAGGCAGGAACAAATCTAGCCTTTTGGAGGCTCCATGTGCTCAGGGCATGGGAGGCTGGATCGCCTAAGAACCTTGCAAGCCCAGGACCTGGACTTTGGATCACATCCTGGGTGTCCTGGAGGTTTGTTTGTTTGTTTGTTTGTTTGTTTAAATGCAGTTTCACTCTTGTTGCCCAGGCTGGAGTGCAATGGTGCGATCTCGGCTCACTGCAACCTCTACCTCCCCAATTCAAGTGATTCTCCTGCCTCAGCCTCCCAAGTAGCTGGGATTACAGGTGCCTGCCACCATGCCCAACTAGTTTTGTTGCTGTTGTTGTTTGTTTGTTTGTTTTATTTTT
This sequence comes from Homo sapiens, assembly GCF_000001405.40. NCBI lineage: Eukaryota > Metazoa > Chordata > Mammalia > Primates > Hominidae > Homo > Homo sapiens. The sequence goes on from NC_000005.10 coordinate 176,638,981, forward strand.
AGTAGAGACACGGTTTTACCATGTTGGCCAGGCTACTCTCGAACTCCTGACCTCAGGTGATCCACTGGCCTCGGCCTCCCAAAGTGCTGGGATTACAGGCATGAGCCACCACAGCTGGCCTGGGTTTTAAACAAAGAAGTTACGTGACCAGATTAATATTTTAAATGATCCCCCCGAGGAACCTGGAGAACTTTCTGTAGGAAAGCAGGAGTGGAAGCAAGTGGAGTGTCAGGAAATACACAGCAGCCAAGGTCAGAACCAGCTTCTCTGGAGTCAGGGGAGTTGGGAGGGAGAGGAATGGGCAGATTCAAGATATTTTAGGAACAGGATGGTAGGGCTGGGATTTAAGAGCCCCTGCTGGTTCAATCCCAGCATGAAGATGTCCCCCATAGACAGACTTGGAAGGGCCTCAGCGAGGGGCCAGGATGCCTGTAGCGCCAGGGGGGTTGCTCTTAAGGTCTCTCCTTAGTCACCTCAATCCAAGACTCCAGGAGCTTCCCCAGGCTGGAAGCTGTGGGAAGTGGTGGGAAGGGGTGCTGTGGCTGGGAGGGTCCTTCCGAGCTGGGCTCTGGGCCACAGCTGTAAGGTAGCTAAGACCATGCCCGGTACTGGGGGGAGCCCTTCCTTCCTTTTTCTTCATCAGATCTAGATTCCTGGCCGGCACAGTGGCTCACACTCGTAATCCCAACACTTTGGGAAGCAAAGGCAGGAGAATCACTTGAACCCTCCCAGGCTGATTTGAGACCAGTCTAGGCCACATATTGAGACCTCATCTCTATTTTTTTTTTAATTGAAAATTAGCCAGACATGGTGGTGTGCACCTGTAGTCCCAGTTTCTCGGGAGGCTGAGGAGGGAGAATGAGCCAAGGAGTTTGAGGCTGCAGTGAGCTATGGTCATGCCACTACACTCCAGCTTGGGCAACAGAGCAAGACACTGTCTCAAAACAACAACAACAAAATCTAGATTCGTGAGCTCTTCCCAGCCTGGTCCTCTTCCAGTGCTCCCTCTGTCCAAATTTCTTCAATGCTCCTCCCACTGAGAGGTGGCAGTATGTCCCCTCCCTTGAATCTGGGCCTGTGACTCTAGTAGAATAGAGTGGGTCTGATGTGGTGCCAGGTTTCAGGCCCAGGCCTTAAGAAACTGGCAGCTTCTGCTTCCTGTCTCTTGGGATGCTTGCTCTGGGAACCCAGCCACCACGCCGGGAAGAAGCCAAGCAGCCACATGGAGAGGCCACGCAGTGCCATCCTGGCCAGCACCCCCAGCTGAGGCTCCAGCTGACAGCTGGCATCAGCTGCCCCACGTGTGAGTGAGCAGATGACTCCAGCCCCAACCTGTAAGCCACCCTAGCTGACCTCCCTTTGAAGGAGAGCTGGGCTGTCCTACTGAGCACTACCCACATTGCACGCTTGTGAGCATAATAAATGATGATTATTGTTTTAAGCCACTGAGTTTGGGGTGGTTTGTTGTGCAGCAATAGATAAGTGGGACACAGTGCTTCACCCCTCCAGGGCCTATCTATCACTAAATATCACTGAGTTTTCCTTCTACATACCCCTTGAGTCTATTATCATCTCTCCATCTTCTCTGCCGCCCCCTCTGTCACCTGGACGACTACATTAGCATCCTAGTCAGTGTTTCCCCACACCTTCTTGCAGCCACAGGGTTCTGTTTCCTACACAGCAATCCAGAGAACCTGCTGAAAAGCATATCTGATTGCCTCCCCAGCCAGTCTGTACATGCTCAAAATGCTCAGTGGCTCCCCACTGCCCCTAGGATCAGGCTTACCCATTTCTTTCCCCTTTTAGCTTCGCCCACACTGGCCTGTCTTCTCGTCCTCTGGTATTCCACATTCCCTTTGCCCCAGGGCATTTGCACATACTGTTCCCACTCCCAGAGATGCCCTCCCCGACCCAGTTAATTATTTCCTATTATTTCTTGTTTATGCTTTAGGTCTTTGCTCAAATACCACCTCTCAGTGACCTTCTTCTCAGTGGTTCTTAAAACGGGGTCCCTGGCCAGCAGCATCTGGGAACTTGTTAGAAATACAAACATCCTGGGCCTGGCGCTTTGGGTCACGCCTGTAATCCCAGCACTTGGGAGGCCAAGGTGGGCAGATTGCTTGAGTCTAGACATTCAAGACCAGCCTGGGCAACATGGCAAAACCCTACCTCTACAAAATAAAACAAAACAAAACAAAACTAGCCGGGCGTGGTGGTGCATGCCTGTAGTCCCAGCTACTCGGGAGGCTGAGGTGGGGGAATCACCTGAGCTGAGACGTCAAGACGGCAGTGAGCCAAGATGGCACCACTGCACTCCCGCCTGGGCAGCTGGAGTGAGACCTTGCCTGAAAACAATATAAATAAATAAATAAAATGGAAACATCCTCAAGCCCAAGCCCAGAACTAAGGCGTCAGAAGTTCTGAGACAGGGCCCAGCAGCGTGTGATGAGCAAGCCGTGCAGGTGATTCTGATACACGCACCTAAGAACTGCCGCTCTGAAGCCCCAGCTTGGATCGTGGACTTTTTAGGTTCTCCCATCCCCGAATCCCTTTCCTTCAGTGGGTTGTGTTTGTGACGACACAGATTGTCTGAGGGATGCATAATCTCATAAACCTGAGCACAGGGCCCGCTTGTTTTTCGCTCATCACCGTAGCAGCACCTAACCCTGTGCCTAGCACGTACCAGGGCTTAAGGCTGTGGGTTGAGCAAATACTCAGCCTCCAGATGGTCACGAGCCCCCCAAGTGTGGGGGAGGAGCAGGGCCTTTTATACGTCTGGGACCCTAAAAGTGCCCAAGGGGAGGAGGCAAAACTTTAAAGGACTTGGGGAGCCTTCAGCCTCCACAGAAAAGGGGTTGTTCAGAAGGCCGATAAAGGGTGTCCAAAGCTTCCCTGCCTTCCTTCCCCATCCCAGTCCCCACCCTCCCCAACCTGGGAGAACCCTCAGCTGACTTCTGTTGAGCACAAGCCAGGCCTTGTTCTACGGGTTCTATGTGTTCTATATCATTTAATACCCTCAACAAGCTTCTGAGTTGTGTATGATTAACATTTTCATTTTACAGATGGGGAAACTGACTCGATGAAGCTCAGGCCTGGCCGCGGTCAGGGTAGAATCAGGACTAGAACCCAGGCTGTGTGGCTGCAGCCCTGACCCTCACCATCCAGGTCAGGCAGAGAACACTCAGGTGGGGCAGGAGGTAAGGTGGGGGCTGTGGGGAGCCTCATGTGTCTCCAAAGGGACTGGGGGCCTGTGAGGCAGTGAGTCGGGGAGGAACTTTCCAAATCCTCAAGAGAAACCAAAAGTGTGAATCTTAGTATAAAACCCCCCTATGTCTAAATGTTGGCAGATGATTAAACTTTTAAAAAACTCAGATGCCACTGGGTATGGTGGCTCATGCCAGTAATCCCAGCACTTTGGGAGGCTGAAATGGGAGATCACTTGAGCCCAGGAGTTGCCTGGGCAACATAGTGAGATTCCTTCATCTCTAGTCAAAAGAATATTTTATTTAAAAACAAACAAACAAAAAAACTCAGGTGCTTCCAGAGACCAGATGAATACCTGCTCTGATGTGAGGTTGGGGATGGTGCCAGAAGGCCCCACGGCCATGTCAGTGTCTCTGCTTCTGCCATCGGCAGGGCCGTCCACCTCACATTCTGGGGTCACCCTCCACGGGATGCAGACCTTGCTTTCCCTTCGAGCAGGCTCCAAATATTGACGCTTACCTTCAGGTCTTGGCCCCCATGGTGTGGGGCTTGGTCACAGCTGCTTCCCCAGCCCCAGGCCTGCACGAAGAAGGCACTCACTAAATGCTTGCTGTTGAGGTAATCAGCCTGGCCTCTCTACCCCCAGTGCACCATGGCCCCGCCCTCTCCCCCCCCCCCCCCGCCCCAGGTGGGCGGGGCAGGTGCTGGTGGGTTAAAAGCTGGTAGCTGGGGGCTTTTCAGATGCTGGGTCCTCCATGGAGTTTGAGCTGGGCATGGCTACTGAAGGCCTTGTGAGTCCCCTGCCTTCCCCTCCTGGAGCAGGGGATGGGCAGGGTGGGCACAGGGACAGCCAGGGCCAGAGCTCACAACCCATCCTGACTCCTTTTTTTGGCTCAGGTGAGTGAAGCTGAGGGTGGAATCCGAGAGTGGGAGGAGGAGGAGAAGGAGGAGGAGGCAGCAGAGAGGACGCCCACAGGAGAAAAGTCTCCAAACTCTCCCAGGACTTTGCTGTCTCTGAGAGGGAAGGCCCGGACGGGGGGCCCCATGGAAGTCAAGCTGGAGCTGCACCCCTTGCAGAACAGGTAGGCAGGAGCCTGCGAGTGGAACACAGCCCCTTGCTTTCAGGCCAGCCTCTGTGCTGGCAGCGTGGCCTTGGGCAACCCCGCCTCTCTTGGCCCTAGCTCTTCATCCGTGGGAGGCCAGGGCTGACCTAAGCCTTGGGCCCTGTTGGCCCTTCCAGCCCTAACCCCGCAGAGACTGTGGGTCAAACACCCCCACTCCTCCCCTGCCCTTCAGGACAACTGATTTCATTCACCTGAGAGGGGAATGCTGTGCCCCAAATCTCATCTCCCAGTTCGCCCTTGAAGGGGAGGGTCCTCCCTGTCAGTCCAGGTGCCCCGGGGGTGGACTTGGCTCTCTGCTTCCTCCTGGCTGCCTCCCCCTTCCCCTACCAGGTGGGCTCTGTGGTTCTTCAAGAATGACCGCAGCCGGGCCTGGCAGGACAACCTGCACCTGGTCACCAAGGTGGACACTGTGGAGGACTTCTGGGCGTGAGTGTCTGTCCCCAGTGGGGCTAGAGTTGGGGGGCTCTGAGCTCTGGGCTCCCTCTCTCCGGGTTGAGCCAGCCCTCCCTAGGGCCTTTCAGCCTTTGTGAGGGCTGGGGCTTTGTGGGTTCTGCCCAGGGGGTATAGGGCACAACCACCCCCCACCCCACCACCTTCTTTGGGCTCAGGGAGAGAGCCTGGGGAGCAGGAGAAGCAGGAAGCTGACCTTGACTCGGCCACTCCAGGGCTTTGTGACCTGGGCAAGTTCCTTCCCCTCTCTGAACCTGTCTCAGCTGCAAAGGGAGGACTCGGCTGCCTCAGTGTCCGGGTGCTCACGGGAGTGGCTCTGAAAAGGGCTACACAAGCCCTAGGGAGGGTGAGAAGGCCTCGGCTGTAGCTGGAGGGGGGAGCACCAGGGGGTCTAAAACCCTCCCCAGGGGTTGGCTCAGCCTTCACTGGGAAGGCTCTGTGGAAAAGGTGGGTCTTGAGAGTTTGGATAAACGGGAGTGGAATCCCAGGTGGCAGGCCAGTGTAAGCAAAGGCTTGGAGGCCATGGGGTCGGATGAGGAGTTGGGAGGGCTGAACCCAGTTGGAACCAGGCCCTAAAAAGCCTTGACTTTTGGCATGGGGTCGGGGGCTCTGTCCAGGCTATACAGTCACATCCAGCTGGCCAGCAAGCTCTCCTCTGGCTGTGACTACGCCCTCTTCAAGGTAAGCTCTGCTCTCCTCTTTCCCTCCCGCAAAGGGACAAGGGGTTGATCCCTCCCGGACTCCACTGCGTTAATCCCTCAGAGGGGTGGGGGTGGGGAGCTACGGGCCACCTCTCAGCAGAGTTGTGGTTTCTGACTGGAGGAAATGCTCTACAGGAGCCCGGACAGAGTAGGTCAGGCCCAAGCCGCACCTTGGAGGACCTTAAGAGGCGGGAAGAGGGAGAGGGAGAGATTTCTGACCTGGCTCCTTAACTAGGGAAGGGCATCAGAATTGCTTGAGGACACTCATTGATGCCACACCCATCCCTGGAGGGCTGACATTGTGTTTAGAGATCTCCCCAGTGACTTCTGCCCTGCCTGGGAACCATGCAGCCAAGCCTGGGATGTCCCCCTTGCCTGCATTGGGGTCTGCCCCTGAGGCTTCCTTAATCCACCCCGATTTGAATGCTTGTCTTAAGGAACTCAGTAAAAGAGACATGCACATATACAAGGCTATACAAGGTGACCAGTGCTGTCTGTCGGGGGGAGCTGAGTGGCTGGGGGTGGAACCTGCTTGCACTGAGGGAAGGGAGGATAAGAGAATCTGGCCTACTTAGGGCCTCAGCAGAGAGCGGATAAGGCCGGGATGGTGGGTGGGTCCCCATTTCCCTTTGAACACAGGGAGGCAGTTGACTTGCCATCTGCCTTGCAGGATGGCATCCAGCCCATGTGGGAGGACAGCAGGAATAAACGGGGTGGCCGCTGGCTGGTCAGCCTGGCCAAGCAGCAGCGCCACATTGAGCTGGACCGGCTGTGGCTGGAGACGGTGAGTTGGAGGAGGAGGGTCCTCAGGGGAAGAGACGGGCTGTGTGGGTCTCATGGTGGCAGTGGTCTCAAGGATGGCAGGCCAGTCCCTATGTCCCAGCCGGTGATCTCACAACCCCCTACTTCGGGTCCAGCTGCTGTGTCTGATCGGGGAGAGCTTTGAGGAACACAGCAGAGAGGTATGTGGGGCCGTCGTCAACATCCGCACCAAGGGGGACAAGATCGCTGTGTGGACGAGGGAGGCGGAAAACCAGGCGGGCGTGCTGCACGTTGGGTGAGGAGGGTCTCTGGCACAGGGTGGGGACTTGGGTCTCTGCTAGAGGGAAGGTGGGTGGAGGGGGCTTGGCCTGCATGGGAGACCTCTGAAAGTCTCCATAGCCTCCCTCCCTTCTGCCTTGCCCACCTGTATGGAAGGTCTGGCGTTCAGATTTCTAACTTTCTCTTACGGCAGTGCAGCTCTCCTTTTGCATTAAGGGGGTCATATTTTGGGTTTCCACATGGGTAAGACACAACAGGTGTGGCTGTGGCCAGAATGAGGGTAGGAGTCTGGTGGCCTAAGTTATCTCTAGGACCCTCTGATGACTACCTGTGTCTCTTTTCCTCTGTGTCCCCCGCACCTGCAGGCGTGTATACAAAGAGCGCCTGGGCCTCTCCCCAAAGACCATCATTGGGTACCAGGCCCATGCAGACACAGCCACCAAGAGCAACTCCCTAGCCAAGAACAAGTTTGTGGTGTGAGGGGGGCCTTGGCACCCCTCCTATGTAATGGGACAGCCGCCACTGAGCCTCATTACTTTGGGGGATGGGGCGGGACTGGGGATCAGACAGCCTAGTTCTTACCTGTCCTCAAGTGAACAGGAATGCAAACACTCTTTAACATGAGTTGGGGCCTGAGCCTTAGGGGCTAGATGGGGGTAGTGGTGGCAGTCTGAGGACCTAGCTTGTCCTGGGGCCACAGGACAGCAGCAGGGTGGAAAAAACTCCTGAGGGTGGGGTGAGTCATGGCGGGGAAGGAGGGCTCTATGGTAGGCGGAGAAACCCATAGTCCAGCGTTTACTGTTTCCACCCAGGAAGGAGGTGAGGTGGCCTGAGAGACAGACTCTTCCATGGGTGGTGGGCTCAAGGGCACAGACATTCTGGAGGGTGAACGCCATCATTTGTACAGAGGGATACGTGGGTTGCTGAGGACTGAGAGAGCCTTGCAAGGCCGCTCCCCTTCTCCCCAGCTGTGACCAGGGCTGTCTGGGCCTTGCCTGCCTCAGGGCCAGACTGAAGTGGAGGTGGAGGGATGCTGGGCTAGGCCTCACCAAGGTTCTGGTAGAAGTGGTGGAAGTGGATAAACTTGATAATAAAAGCTTAAGCATCTTTCTGTTCCTGTTTTAAATAAATACTTCTGAACAAAGTTGGAATTATTTTTAAGAGGGCTTCAAACTGGAGTAAGATTCAGGTTCCCCCAAACTTTGATCTGCCTCTGTCCTGTCTTACAGGGGCTCATGTGAGATCACTGGGTACCAAGGAGCCTGACCGGGACCCTGGCCAGTATGGAGGACAGGGGGTGTGGCTGGGGAAACTCAGCCACCAAGGGGGCTTGAGCCAGGTTCCGGGGGGCATATGCCCCTGGCAGGGCGCAGCCGGCGTGGCACCAAGGCCCAGGCCCTCGTTTGGCCTGAGTTTGAGTCAGGATAAGTAGAGCTGGATTTCCGCTGGGTGAAGGTGAGCCTGATGCGACTCCACAATGACAAAACGTCCTGCACGTGTTAAAAACTCAATCCGGACCAGCTTCCCCATTCGCCTGCCAGAGCAGCAGTTAACCTTCCCCTGGGATGGGCTCCAACAGCAGGCTGGGGATTGGGATGGCGCTGGTACCCAGCAGGGGAAGCAAGGCTTCTACACCCCGGCGGCCTCCGGCGCCATCAGCCGGCGTCCCGGGCGGGTCTGCAGGACGCTGGGAAACGCGGCGGCGGCCTGCGCGGGGGCGGGGCCTGGCCGAAGGCGGGGCTGCGAGGAGGTCCGAATCAGGCTGTGGGGGCGGAGCTCGGGAAGCGGAGCCAGGTCCAGAGGCGGGGCTCAGGCGGGACTGAGTTGATCTATGGGGGCGGAGCCAGGTCAGGAGGCGGGACTCCAAAGGGACTGAGGGCTGTGGGGGCGGGGCCCGGTCCAGAGGCGGGGACAGCAGGGCTCCGGGCAAGGAGGTCTGGATGCTGAGGGCGGTCCCTGAGGGGCGGGCGGGGCCCGACCGGCGCTCTGTGTGGCCGAGGCCATGAAGCCGCAGCCGCCCGGCTAGGCCCCGGGCGGCTCTAGCCCAGGGCGGCCCGCGGGGCGCTGGGCCTGGCTCCCGGCTCCGGTTTCCGGGCCGGCGGGTGGCCGCTCACCATGCCCGGCAAGCACCAGCATTTCCAGGAACCTGAGGTCGGCTGCTGCGGGAAATACTTCCTGTTTGGCTTCAACATTGTCTTCTGGGTGAGCGCGGGGTCTGCGCCTTGCCCTGTGCTGGGGGGTGGTGGGAGAGGGAGATTCAGTCTTTTGCTGGGGGAGACCACTCCCTGCCCCAAGAGTTTGGAGCTCGGGACCATCCCCCCACTTCTGCCACACCCACGCCCACTTCCAGGACCACCCGAGGTAGCTACAGAGGCCCGGATTGCTGGGGGCGGGTCCTAGCGACAGCGTGGGGTCGGGGTTGGGGTAGGGAGTCTCCCTAAATAATCCCGAGGCCTGGTGGAGAAAGGGAAGGTGTTTCCTTGAAGACCCCAGGGGCGTGCTAGGTGCAGGTTGCCCCCTCTCGCCCAGCCCTCCTTCCTACCCTGGGATGTGGGATGCGTGCCAAGCCCCACCCCTGGTTTAGCCGGTAAGGAGATTCTGGCGTGAAGGGAGCCGCCAGGCCCCTTCCCCGGCCTCCTTTCCCTTCCAGTAGTACCTGGGTCAGGTGCCTCACCTTAGGCTCCTGCAGAGTGGGGTGGGTCACAGTCCTCTGCCCACCCCAGTCCCGCACAAGGAGGCTGACCTGCCAGGAGGGGCAGGGAGGGACAATGGCGAGTCCTTGGCGGCTGGGAGAGGATCTCCCCGGTTGAGAGCCTGGGAGCTGGCCTTGGGGAACAGAATTCAACATTCCACAGCTGACAAGCTGAGGCTCCTGGGCGGGTCTGCCCCTACCGGGGAAGGGAGCTACTAGTGCCCCTCCCAGGGTGGCATCTGTCCCCCTGGGCCCTGCCAGGTCATTTTTCCCATCTCTCCAAAGCCGTGGCCCTCTGCAGTCTCTGCTCCTGAGGCCTTGGGTCAAGATGCCAGGCCTTTTCCCTTGTGTTCAGCAAGACTCAGTGGCACTGCCCCCCACCCACGTGTCACCGAGCTCACTGGTGTGGTGGGTGTCCTTGCACTGCAGCGCTAGGCTCTTGAGGGTGTGGGCAGTGTGTGGGAGCACTGGCAAAGAAGTCAGAAGGCCTGGCTGTAGCAGGCCTGGCTGGGACACCTTGGGCAAGTCATCTCTCCTCTCCGGGCCTCAGCTTGCCTGCCTGGGAGACGACGATAAAGAATCTGCCTGTGAGGGCTGTTAGGCAGATACAATGAGTTCAATTTGTTGTATTCTCACAACTGCCTTATTATCTGCATTTTACAGATGGGGAAACTGAAGGAATAGACACAGAGAAATTAAGTCACTTACCTAGGGTCACACAGCCAGAAAGTACAGAGCCAAGGTGACGGCTTAGTGGGCAGAGGGTGGAGGTGAGGCAGAGCTGTGAGCAGAAGTAACCTCAAATACCGAGGGGGAGCAGGCGTGAGAGACCCGGGTTTGTTGCTGGGGCGGAGCGTGGGGTGTTATGTTAAGGTGGCATGGAGAAGCGAGGGCTTCCAGTGATGGGTCTGATCTGGCTTCTGTTCTGGAGACCGCTTGCCTGGCTGCTGTGTGGAGGGTGGATGAGGGGCAGGGCCTGGAGGTTTGGAATGGGGGCAGGGCTGGGGCAAAGCTGGGATGGTGAGGTGGGAAAGGTGAGGGAGGTTGCTGGGAAAGTCAAGAGGCTGAATTGACTGGGCTGGGTCACTTGGGGGCTGGAGGGAGGATTTCAGATTTGGGTTAAGGTGGCCTAAGGGAGGCTGCTTGTGGAACAGGCACAGAGGTTTTCATGTTTAATGTCAGGCAGACCCTGGTGTTGTTCTGTTTGGAAACTGCTTGTGGTTTCCTTTTTTCTTTTTTCTTTTTTTTTTTTGAGACAGAGTTTTGCTCTTGTTGCCCAGGCTGGAGTGCAATGGCACGATCTCGGTTCACTGCAACCTCCGTCTCCCAGGTTCAAGCGATTCTCCTGCCTCAGCCTCCCAAGTAGCTGGGACTATAGGTGTGTGCCACCACGCCTGGCTAATTTTGTATTTTTACTAGAGATGGGGTTTCTTCATGTTGGTCAGGCTGGTCTCGAACTCCTGACCTCAGGTGATCCACCTGCCTTGGCCTCCCAAAGTGCTGGGATTACAGGCGTGAGCCACCACGCCCGGCCATCCTGCTCGTGGTTTCTTACTGCTCCTAGAGTACTGTCGGCCTCCAGGGCCCCGCGGGGCCGGGCTGTCCGCCCTTCAGTTTGTTCCTTGAACTAGACGTGGTCTTGTGTCAGGGCCTCTGCCTGTGCCCTACCCTCCTCCTGGAACAGGCTTTTCCCTCTTGCTCTTTTCATCATTCAAACCTCAGCTGAAATGCCCCCACCCTCCCTTCTGCCCTCTCTAAAGCTGGCGTCCAACCCCAGCATCCCCCATCTCGTCGCCCCGCTCGATATTTGTTAAGGGGTCTGTTTGCATCTGAGGTTTCCTTGTCTGCTCACTGACTGTCCATCTCCCCTGCTGGAGTGTAAGCTCCGTGAGGGTCGAGTCCGTCCTATTCACCAGCGAATCCCCGGCATGGCGGCGATCAGTGCCGGTGGGTCGTGGAGGTGTTTGCTGCAGGCGGGTGGACGTAGGGGTGTGGGACCAGCATGAGGTCTGGGTGGGGATCGGGAGATGCCAGCGTCATGATGGGATGGAAGACGAGCGTGAGGAGGAAGAACGGCAGAAGGCTGAGGCTGGAGGCCGTGGGACCAGCCACAGGTGGTCCCTCCAGGAACACAGCCCTCCAGGAACTCCTGCTGGAGGCTGAGAGCTCACTTCCCAGCTGTTTTCCCAAAGTGCTTTAATTGTATTTCCTTGGCTCTGATTGGCTGCCTCTGGACCAATCCCCGGGGCAGGTGAAGGCGGAGCATCCTGGGAAGGAGCTCGGGGAGGAATGGGGTTGAGTTAACTGAGGTGGGGTTCAGGAAGGAGAAAGTGGCACTCAGTCCCCTGTCTGAAGGCCAAGGGCAGGCCAAGTGGGAGGAGGCAGGAGAAGTGATGTTTGGTTTCACATCAGCAGACCCAGCAGGCAGGAGGGAAGGGAAGATGTTTCCAGAGAAAGAATAGAGCAGTGTGGGGAGCCCACGGTCAGGGAAGGGAAGGTGATAAAGGCCTTGGCCGTGGCTATGTGCTGAGGGGAAGGAGCCTGCAGATAAAGCAGGTGGGTGGGGAGGTCGCAGGAGGTGGGGTCATGGCCCTGGGCTTGGGTACGACAGCCTTTCCCCCTCTGAGACTGCACGCCCAGGGACCTGCCCAGGGTCAGGTGTGAGAGTGACCAGCCTGGACATCCAGGGCTCTTCCCAGTAGGGAATTGAGGCAGGAAGGTGGGAAAGCTGAGGATGGAGGAGAGGCACTTGGACTGCCCCGGTGGGGAGTCTAGCTGGTGTTCTGAAGGCCCAGGCAGAGCTGTGGCCATGGGGCAAAGCCACTGGCACAGGCCAGATCCTAGGTGGATCCTGCTAGGGATGATTGAGATTCCTGTCATTCAGGGGTGTCTGGTCGTGAGCCGTGGAAGCTGACTCTGGCAGGCGGAGGTTAAAGGGGTAGGATGGGGCTGGGCTGGGGAGGAGTGTTGAGGGCGGGGCCGCAGTCACACGGCTTTAGGGTAGCAGGAGAGCTGGACTTGGCAGGGTGCAGAAAGGAGGCTAGGAGCCTGGAACCCCAGCACCAGCTTCGGTCAGGTGTAGAGGCTCAGTATACTGGCGCCGTCGCTACCCCCGCTGACACAGCTGCTATTGCTCCTTGGCAGGAGTGTCTTGGCCACCGTCTGCTCCAATTTGGAGTTCCAGGAAGGGGCCCCTGATGTCCATCCCAAGGCTAGCAGAGGGTTCAGTCCTCCAGGCTGTGTCCTGTGGGGAAGAAGCACTGGGATGTGTTCTTGGGAAGATGGAAAGGACCCCGGATCCCGTTCACAGCCCTTGTGCCTCTTCCTCTCTCCGCTGGAAAGGCCCTGGCTACCGGGGAAGGATGAGGGGGGAGGGTCCTGGGGCTGCTCCCAGCCCTGAGCTCTTTGTTGCTGCCCTTGCAGGTGCTGGGAGCCCTGTTCCTGGCTATCGGCCTCTGGGCCTGGGGTGAGAAGGTAAGGCAGCGGGCGGGCGTGGAGCTGGTATGGGACGAGGTGGTGGGAAGGTCAGCTCCCCACACCTGCCTCTGCTGCCCGGCACAGGGCGTTCTCTCGAACATCTCAGCGCTGACAGATCTGGGAGGCCTTGACCCCGTGTGGCTGTTTGTGGTAGTTGGAGGCGTCATGTCGGTGCTGGGCTTTGCTGGCTGCATTGGGGCCCTCCGGGAGAACACCTTCCTGCTCAAGTTTGTGAGTGCTGCCCTCAAGATCCCCTGGGAACCCCCATCTCCTCCCATCCAGTTCTTGCAATACAGTTGGAGCTTAATGATGGGTAGCTTTATTATTATGCTATAATCGTCATCGTTAGATTCATGTTGTCTATATTTACTAGGATCCTTTCCGTGGTATGGTAAGTGACCGAGACCTGGTGGCCCAAGCATAAAATATTTATTGACTCAAATAAGAAAAGTCCAGGGTTGTGCTGGCTGCCGGTGCATTTTGATCCAGGGGCTGCCACAGTTTCACTTGGCCTGGTTTCTCCCTGTTTCTCGGGCTCCCCCCGTTTGGCTCCATTCCCAGGTGGCAGGAGGCTCAGGAACAGAGCCGGCTTCCCCATGCCCTCCCAGGAACTCCTGCTGGAGGCTGAGAGCTCTCTTCCCAACCGTTTTCCCAAAGTGCTTTAATTGCGTTTCCTTGGCTCTGATTGGCTGCCTCTGGACCAATCCCTGGAGGCCGAGGGAGGCAGTGCTCTGATTGGTGGGCTTTAGGCACTTGCCAGTCCTGTATCTGGGACTGGTGGGTTTGGGGAGGTGTCTCCATCCGAACCTTGGAAACTAAAGGTTTGCATGGAGGATGGTTTTTCAGAGACAGCAGGGTGTGATTACCAGACAAAGGGAATTGGATGGGTAGGTAACAACAGATGCCTATTACCATCATATAACAATACTAAAATAATAGAAGGTGGGGGCTCTGGGCGCCTCTGGGTCTTGGTGGAGGTAGGGATGGAGCCCTTCCCTGTGGCACACCCAAGCCCTGGGAGGTCACCAGAGCCCTGCGTTTCCAACCCCTACTGTCTGTATGCCCAACCCCAGTTCTCCGTGTTCCTCGGTCTCATCTTCTTCCTGGAGCTGGCAACAGGGATCCTGGCCTTTGTCTTCAAGGACTGGATTCGAGACCAGCTCAACCTCTTCATCAACAACAACGTCAAGGCCTACCGGGACGACATTGACCTCCAGAACCTCATTGACTTTGCTCAGGAATACGTGAGTCCAGTGTCCAGCCTGGGACACCTGTAGGAGGCGCCTTCCTGGCAGACGAATGAGGGAGCAAGTTCCCTGTGATGGGACCATCTCCTTACCCACCTGGGCTAGCGGGCCCCAGGAGAGAGACCCAGGAGTGTCCTCGTCCGAGGAGAGCCAGCCCCTGCTGATCCTTATGGGTCCCCATTTGCCTAGTGCCATAGGGCCACGGCCTTGGGAAACAGAGGGCATGGGCTCCACGCTAGCAGCTCCCAGGCCAGGGCCTACGACACACGGGAGAATGGAGGAAATGTGACATAAAATATAGATTTCTACTTCTGCTAAACCTTGGGCCCACGGTATTGGCTGCAGCTATGTTGCTGCTGCCCCTTCACTGGTACAGAGGCTCTCTGTTTGCCATTGTTCCCAACACTCTGTATTTTATTATATCTGTCAGCCCTTATCTCTCATTTATACTATGTTTGGCCTCTGTGTATATTAGAGTTTAGACCCCTGATGGAAGGTCTGCCCTCAAACTTACAAACTTAACCCCAGTGAAGAGCAGCCAGAGAAGAGTTCCTGAAACCCTATCTGCCTCCCACCTGCACCATCTCGCCCACTCACCCCTAACCACAAACACACAGTCACACACTGTCACCCACAGTCACAACCACACCTAGTCACACACTCGCAGGCACACTTGATCACACCTACACCTACACATGGTCCCACAGTCACACATGAGTCACACCCGATCACACCCACACACGGCGACAGGCCCTTGGCACCATTCACCACCAAGAGTCAGCTCTGGATCCAGAGGTGAAGCAGAGCTGGTGCCTGCTTCAAGCAGCTCTCAACCCAGGGCAGAGGCAGACATAGCCAGGCAGTTATGATGCAGTTCATTCATTCATTCAGCACAGGATTGTTAAGGGCCTACCATATGCCGGACCCAGAGCCAGGCCCTGAGGATTCGGCGGGGAAGAAAGCTGGGACCTGTCCTCTCAGGGCTGGCAGTCGGGAAGAGACAGATGGTGAACAAGCAGAACAAACAAATGTGTGCATGTACATACGTGTGTATGCAAAATTGTACATTGTGGTAAGAGTCAAAATGAAGGGTGGAGAATGGGAAGGCCTCTGCGTGGAGAGCTTGAAGCCTCCCAAAGGAGGAGAAGGAAGAGAAGGGAGAGTGTTCTGTAGCAGGAGCAGCTGGCGCTGAGCAGGTGCCAGGAGGCAGGTGGAGGCTGAGCCCTGCCCTGGGACCAGCACATGCAGGGCATGTGGCAGGCCTGACTCCTCCAGCTCTCTGGCTCGGCCACGGGGCCTGCCTGTGTCTGCTGCCGAGCTTGAGCTCCCCCAGCCCTGTGGGCTGCTCTCCAGCCCCTGCGCTGCTGCTCAGTGAGGGCTGTGTGCACCCGTGTGCCCCACAAGACCATGGTTCATGGCAGATCCCAAACTCGCCATTGCTCCTGCCTAGGGGACAGCTTAGGGTGTTCTGGGTGGGGGTGATGGGGTGTGGGATGATGCCAGCCGGCATGGAGGAAATGGGGTGGCACGGCTATGGGGGTGGCAGGATTCCCCTCCTGTCCCTGCACTGAAGAGAGGAGGGCTTTGTAGAACCTCTGGGGCAAGTGTGGGAGGCCTGCTGCAGACATGGGGCCCAGCGGTCTCTGCTGCCACAGGGCTTGGCCCAGCGCCTGCCTCTCAGGTAGTCTGGAGGAAGCCACAGTCATTGAACCAGTATCCTTGTCCCACTCCCTCCCTTTTTCTAGCCTCTCTTGGGTCGGGGAAGGGGGAGCTCAGTGTCCCCTCCCTTGCACCCCTCTGCCTCCACCAGCCTGGAGGTTGGGCCCAGGCCTGTGGGGGTGGGGAGGTGGCCACCCACTTGGCTGTCCCAGCCCTGTCCCAGACAGCCCTGTATTCCTGCAGCCTGGGCTTGTTCCCAAACAGGGTGAGGCTCCTGGGATGGGCCTGGCTCACCTGGGGCTCTCCCCTGCCCCCACAGTGGTCTTGCTGCGGAGCCCGAGGCCCCAATGACTGGAACCTCAATATCTACTTCAACTGCACTGACTTGAACCCCAGCCGGGAGCGCTGCGGGGTGCCCTTCTCCTGCTGCGTCAGGGACCCTGCGGTGAGTGGGGCTGGGGGAGGAGAGGTAAGGGACTTTCCAGTGCACAGACTCTGGAGAAACCTCCCACAGGGCCCCGCTCCGCTCTGCCCTGCTCTGGGGGCGTGGATGCTGGGGGACGTCATTTTACATGGGTGGCACTGAGGCCTGTTGGGGCGCGGCTGCTTTCCCTGTTCAGCAAGACCTGTCTTTTTTATCGTAGTGAGATGGAAACAGCAGGACCCTGGGGCACAGGGATGGGGACTGGCCTGGAGGCCTCCCTGCACCCTATACCTCTACATAAACACAGCCGCAGCCATTGTCTGCTCCTGGCCAGCTTGAAGGTTGGCCAGGCTGTCACTCTCAGTTATGGTTGTATGTGACGGGGGTTGCCTGGGTCATTGCCAGCCAGCACCCCACTGGGCCACCGTTGCAGGGTAGCAGGGAGTGGGGACCTCTGTCCCTTTACGACTTTCTTCAGGGCAGAAACCTCTCCTGATGATGTTTCTTCAGTCATAGTCCATCTGGGATGCCAAGGACCAGGTTTCTCCCCATTCTTATAACACACCAGCAGGCAGGATTCCTGAACGGAGGCAGGTCCAGGTTGGCGATTGCAGCCACGCATTCCAGCGTCTGGGAAAGAGGCACGTGGGGCCAGGTGTGGTGGCTCATGGGAGGATCATTTGAGTCCAAGAGTTTGAGACCAGCTGGGGCGGCACAGTGAGACCTCGTGTCTACAAAAAAAAAAAAAAAAATTAGACGGGCATGGTGGTACACTCCTGTGGTCCTAGCTACTTGCGAGGCTGAGGTGGGAGGATCACTTGAGGCCAGGAGGTCGAAGCTGCAGTGAGCTATGATCGTGCCACTGCACTCCAGCCTGGGCAATGGAGTGAGACCCTGTCTCAAAAAAAAAACAAAAGCACATGGGCCTCAGAGAGGCTCACTTAAGACTGGTGGACACGGCAGAATCCACGGGCCCATCTGCGTCCTCTGAGAAGGAAAAGCCACCGCACTGCCCAGGTACCATGGACCCCATGGGATGCGTCCTCACCAAGTCACTAACTGGCCTGTCTCCCCTCAGGAGGATGTCCTCAACACCCAGTGTGGCTACGACGTCCGGCTCAAACTGGTGAGAGGGGTAGGAACCGGGCTGGGGCAGGCAGGCAGGGGTACTGGGTTGGGTATGAGAGTGTCTATAACCTCCTCTGGAAGGCCTCAGGGATTCTTTGGGGAGAGGGTGCTGAGTCCCAGGAACCAGCCAGACACCCAGGCAGCGGAGGGGGAGTAGACCCCTGGGCCTGGGCAGATGTGGGTTTGCTCAGTTCTGCTCTGTGGAGCACCCTTGGGGTGCCCGGCTTTGCCCTAGAGGCCAGAGATTTGGTGCTCATGAGACAGTCGGCTCTGGAGGAGTGGAGGGAGAAAGACGGTAAGCCCTTAGAGAAAGCAATATGAACAGCCATGTGACAGTCTCAGCTGAGAGCTTGGAAGAAAATAAGGGAGGTGATAGGAGAGAAGCTGGGCAGGCAGGAGGGGGCGTGCATCTGTGCTGAGACCCCATGAGAAGGAGCCGGCTTTGTGGAGGGACTGTGGGGAGCAGGTACTGCAGGTTTAGACCCTGGGGTGGGCGTGAGCTTGGCAGGCTGGGAGGGTGGGAGCCGGCCTGAAGGGCAGGTAGGCTGAGCCTGGTGCCTGCGTGTCCCCAGGAGCTGGAGCAGCAGGGCTTCATCCACACCAAAGGCTGCGTGGGCCAGTTTGAGAAGTGGCTGCAGGACAACCTGATTGTGGTGGCGGGAGTCTTCATGGGCATCGCCCTCCTCCAGGTACCCTTGTGGCCCCACGTGCCCCTCCCCTTGCCGGGGCCGCCCTCACTCTCCCCTCACCTGTCCTCTGTCTTACAGATCTTTGGCATCTGCCTGGCCCAGAACCTCGTGAGTGACATCAAGGCAGTGAAAGCCAACTGGTGAGGCCGCCAGAGGCCATGGCCACATGCCTGGCCTACGCAGGCCTCTGGGGGGCCCCCCAGGACCCTCCTACTATACTCCTGACGGGCAAGGCTGCAGGAGATGTTCCTGCTGGGACTGAGCCTTGAGGGGTTCGCCTGAACCGCTGTGCTGTCCACCCACGGAGGAAGTTGCTGTGCCTCCGCCTGGGCCTCTTGTCCCATATGCGTGTGTACACACACATGCAGGCACACGTGTGCACAGGGAGCCACCGTCTCGGCTACATTTGGGGTGGTGGACTCTCCAGGGGACTAGGAAGGGCGCAGCTCAGAGGGTGCAGGCCAAGTGGGGTGGGAGGTGCTGTGTGGAGGGTCCCCCCCGTTCCCTGCCCCCCAGTGCTGGGACGCACCTTTCTGTGCGTAGCTGTATGGGGCGCGTTGCCTGAGCCACTGCCTCACACAGCTTCAGAGCACTCTTTTCTATGAGCTGTAACTTTGAGCCTGCCAGGAACCCACCTCAGCCTCAGTGTCCCAGACTCTGAAATGGGTCCAAGAATTTTCTTTCTCTTGCTTGCCTCTCAGGAGCAAATGGAATGATGACTTTGAAAACCACTGGCTTACGCCCACCATTTCCGAGGTCCTGTCCACGGCGGGGCCTCAGCAGAACTCTCTGACTGGGGCCCCTGGCCCGGCCCCACCCAGCCGACATGTTTTCTTTGGCCTGGGTGGTTTATACCCTGAGCCAACCTTTAAAAATTGGTAGATTTCACATAAAAGTCCAGATCCACAGCTTCTCTTGAAGAATGACCACCTGGCTACGCCGGCTCTTCGGTGGCAACACTACCTGGGACACTGCCTCCCCAGTCACCAAGGGCCCCAGCTGGCCCGTTCTACTCACCTAAGTGCCGCCTGACCCTTGTACACTAGGAGCTGGCCTCCCACCTCTGCAGGGTTATTCCCTGCACCTCGAGGCCGCTGCGGGCCAATCTGGAGTGAAACACGGGGACCTGAAGGATGGAGAGGCTGGACCCCGCTTTGAAGAGGGTGCAGCCTGGGAAGGGCGGCCTTGCTGGGGACTGCGGTGGGAGTAGAGTGCCCAGGAGAGGGTCTGAGGGGTGGGATGGGGGTCAGGACAATTTTGCAAAAGAAGTAGCTGGAAGCCATGGGACTGGCGGGAGCCTGTTTGGGGGATCTGGATGGTTGACTCCTAGGAGTCAAGTTCAGCATCTTCACCGTGGCTGCAGAGCTGCCTGATGGGCACTAGAGGGCATGCCAGCCCCACACTCCCTGGGTCTGGCTTCCTCCCGCAACCTCACTCTAGTAGAGCCTGTGCCTGCCTACTAGCGCTCTGGGGTTCGGAGAGTTTGGGAATTTCTCAGAGCCAACTGGCTCAGGCTTGGGAAGGCTGGCTGCTGCCCTCAGCTCCGCCTCATCAGCTATGTGAAGGGGTGTGTGTGGAGTGATCCTGCCGCCCCCTCCCTGGGCTCGTCCAGAGATCTCAAACTCCGATGCCCCTGGGGCCACGTATGTTGTATAAATGGATGAAACAGGCCCTTGAGTTGGGAGCCTGCTTCACTTTGACTTTCCCACTGTTGCTGGAGACAAAGACATCGTGATGAGAGAAAGTTCGCACAATCTAGTCGGTAACAGCCACTTTCCTTGAGACCAAGAGAGTGCGGTGGGGATGGGGGGGAGAGCACGGGTCCCCGTCTGACAGTGGCCGCTGCCATATTCAGGTGTAGCTAATTGCTCTGGTGTGGGAATGCAGGCCTAATGACAGAAATCTGGAGAAGCCAGAAATACAGATTTGTATGTGAGATGTCCTGATTTTTTAAGTTGTTGGCAGAAATTAATTCAGAAATCAAATCTGCAGGCCAAACAAGGTGCAGGACCCAGCTTTGGCCCCATGCCCCTGTAGGTCCCTCTGGGACAGTCACCGCTGGGGTCCTGGCTGCTCTGTCATTGAGGGATGCTGGGCACTGCTGCCGGGTGGCCAGGGTATGGGGCATGTGCCCAGCAATGTGGCTCCTTGGCCCCGCTGGCCAGTGTCCTGGGCCCCTGACAGGCGCTGGCTGTGAGTGGTTTGTACATGCTACAATAAATGCAGCTGGCAGCATTGTGCATGTGTCTTGCATTTTCACTTTCATTTTATGCCTCAAACCACACAACACCCTGTGCGGTGGAATTTCTTTTCCTGATGAGGAAATGGACTCCGAGAGGGGAGGGAGGTTGCCTGGAGCGCACAGCTGGGAGGAGGCACACCAATCTGACCCTCCTGCTGGAGTTTCGCACCACACCTGTCCTGTGTGTCTGATATATTTGGGTAAAACCTCTGTACTCAAAATAAGGGCGGTACATTCATCCCCCAAGTGTGAGTTGAACATCAACTCAGGGGTGGAGATACAGAGAAGGGCAAGGTCTTGCCTGTGTGCTGCATTCTTGTGGGGAAGACATGGAAAGCAAGCTGGCCAGCATTTTTGTTAGTAATACATACTATGAATAAAGCAGGAGTGACTGCAGGGAGGCCTGGGAGAAGGCGAGCGGAGGGGCACCATCTCTGGGCTGCTCTGGGGGAACGATGTTCTAGGTTTTGGTACCAGCTTCTGTAGAGGCCTGGAAGCCAGCGTGGGCTCCATGTGAGGGAGCCTGGGGTGGCTGGAGAGGTGGGAGTGGGGAGGGGCAAACGGCATAAGCACAAGGAAGTGGTGTAACCAAGATATGTTTGGAAACAAGATTGAAGAGATGGGATGGGAGTGATGAGTAGGAGTGGTTGAGGCCCTGGCTGGGAACACGGAGTTCTCCAAAGCTCAGTTCTGCTACTGGATATCCATTCTTCCATCCATCCACCCACATTCACCATCTACCCGTCCATCCGCTCACCCACACACCCATCCATCCACACGTTCACTCATCCATCCATCAATCATCCACTCACCCACCCACCACCCACCACCCACCTGCCCATTCATTTACATGTCCATCCATCCATCCATCCATCCATCCACTTATCCACCTACTCGCCCATTCATTCACATGTTCACTCATCTATCCATCTATTCACTCATCCATCCACTCACCCACCCTCCCACCTACCCATGCATCCACACATTCACTTATCTATCCATCCACCCACTCTTCATCCATCCATTCATCCACCCACCCACCCATCCATTCATCCAGTCACCCACCCACCCTTCCTCCATCCATTCACCCATCCACCCTTCCTCCATCCATTCACCCATCCACCCTTCCTCCATCCATTCACCCATCCACCCTTCCTCCATCCATTCACTCATCCACCCACCCATCCCTCCATCCATCCATCCATCTTCATCCTCCATCGACTCACTCAGCTATCCACTGCCATTCACTTAGGTAGGCCCTAGCTAGAGGCTGGGGTTACTGAGGCAGCTCAGACCTGCCCCTGCCTTCCCAGAGCCCAGTATCTTGTTGGAGGCAGACAAGGAAGAGTTGCTAATGTGCAATGTATACGTGGTGACAAGGACGTGATGATCACTGCTAAGTGGGGTCTTGGGCTGGCTACAGACAAATTTCCTGTCCCCCAGTAGAACTTAGAGCAGTTCTTTGCACCAAGGGGCTCTTACCCACAGATGATGCAGCTTCTTCAGATATGCAAAAACACAAGGGAGCTTGTAAGACTGTCCATCCCTCTAGGAGGGTCCCTGGGCCTTGGGACCAAGGTCACCTCCCACCGTCTGTTAGGATGAGATGCACACTCATCTGTTAGGTAGGGACAGGTGCATACTGGTAGAGACAGGTGCACACTGTCTGGCAGCCTGGGAGTCCCCTGTCTAACCACAGGAGAGGCTGCCAGCAGCTCCCTGATCAGCTTGGTGGGAGGACATCCTGTGACACCAAGATACCCTACAGAGAGAGCTGGAGGGACAGAGAACACCCAGGCTGGCGAGCTCCTTTATCTCTGGGTGAGGTGGTCATATGGGCTGGAGAGGACGGGCAGGAGCTCCTTCTGGGGAGGCTAAGGCCACAGATGCCTTGGTGGTAGCCACTCCCAGTTACCACCAGAGGGCGCCAAAGTGCCGCCCACGCAGCTCAGCCGGCTCAGCTCGCGGAAGGAGCTCTGTGTAGAGTCATTGGGGCGACCCCTAGGGCCAAGCAAGCCCATGCCATCGTTCCAGAGACCCTGGGCCCACCCCGCTGGTGCCAAATCCAGGCCTTACCACCCTCTGCCCTGTCTTCTCTGGGGAGTGGAGCAAATGATGCTGCCTGCCCACGGGTGCCTCTCTCAGTGCTTACAGGGCCCGAGCCCACTTGCTGGGCTGGGTGGGTGGTGGTGTCCGCCCGATAGAGCTGGAGAAAGGGGTGAGCGTCACTCTCTCTAGGAGGATGACGCAATGTGCTCCACAACCTACACCTCCATTCACTCATTCAGCCAGGGCAGCGGAGCACCCCGTCGCTGCCAGGCACTGCCGCGGGCACTTACGTGAGGGACAAAACAAAGGCCCCACCTCGTGGAACTCACAGCCCAGGCCAGGAAGCAGTCGGCTTTGTCTGCCAAAGGTCAAATATAATGGCAAAAACCGCAACTACTTTTGCACCAACCTACTTAAATCCGCTAGGCTGTTGGGCCGTGCTCCCCTTGACTCTGCCTTCATGGTGGAAAGCAGCTCCGGGTGGGGCTAAGCAGTCTCGTGCGGGGTGTCCCCATCACATCGTACTTGTGGACGCTGACGGCGAACCTCGTGTGATTTTCATGGGTCGTGAATATCATCCTCCTTTTGATTTTCAGCTATTAAACAACAGAAAACCATTTTTGGCTCTTGAGCTCTATAAACACAACTAGCGGGTGGGATCCACCCCGCGGCTGGAGTTTGCAGACCTGGGTCCAGGAAGGAAGGAAGGAGACGGTACACAGTGAACATCATCGCGTGAGCCTGCCCTGCTGCCAGTGGGGACACAGCGGACCAAGCAGGGGTGAGGCAGGGGGCAGGCCTGGCACTAAATGGGGCAGTCGGAGCGGGCCTTGCTGTGAATGCCAGATGGAGCAAAGACCTTTCATTTTAACGGTAACACATTTTTGACAGCACAAGTAAAATAGGAACCCATTCTACTTAGAAAATTGGCTGGGCACAGTGGCTCATGCCTGTAATCCCACACTTTGGGAGGCTGAGGCAGGTGGATCACCTGAGGTCAGGAGTTCGAGACCATGGTCTCACCGTAGAGATATGGTGAAACCCTATCTCTACTAAAAATACAAAAAAAAAAAAAATTAGCCAGGCGTGGTGATGGGCGGCTGTAACCGCAGCTATTCTGGAGGCTGAGGCAGGAGAATCGCTTGAGCCTGGGAGGTGAAGGTTGCAGTGAGCCAAGATCACACCATGGCACTCCAGCCTGGGCGACAGAGCAAGACTCCATCTCAAAAAAAAAAAAAAAAAAAAAAAGCCTGTGCATTCAGCCGGTTCGTGTCATGACTGCAGGGGTACCTCCCAGCAGGGGCAAGCCATGCTTTTCCTTTCTACCCGATGCATGAGGACTGTCAGGCTGTGCCCACTTTGGGGCCCTTCCCACGCTAAGGCATAATTGGTACAAGGCATGGCCAGGACCTCCTGCTTCACTGGGCAGGAGGACGAGGGCCATGGGAGGGTAGCCCCAAATCAGGGCTGATGATGGAGGTAGCCCCGGCAGGTCCCTGCTCAGGCCTAGGGGCCTGATTTCTGCTCCTCAGCCCAGGCGTTGGCTTGATGGGCAGCATTACCACAGGTCTGGCGGGTCTGGGCGTCAGCCCATCAGAGGTGGGAAAGTCACAAAGGAACCCCCAGCCCTGCCAAGGCTGTTGCCACAGTAATGCCTCCCTGGCCCCCTTGGCAGCTATGTGGAGAGATAGGGACGTCAGTACCCTGCAAAGAGAGGGGCCTCTGCTCTGGCCCAAGCATCCAGCCTTTGACCAGAGGCTGCCTTGGGTGCCGGAGGCCTGGCTGCACCTGCACACCTGGGTCCTGCTTCCTGGGATCATCCTGTCTGGGAATTAGCTCTCTAGGTCTGCCTTCCCGCCAGAGAGCTGCTTTCCTCCACCAGCCCCTTCCCAGGCTGCTCCAGTCTGTCCCACTCTCAATCTGTGGGAACCTCCCTGGAATCATGCTTAGGGTGGGTGCAGTCCCCTCCAGCAGGACCATGTGGAATCCAGCCAGCTTGCCATCAGCCAGTGTTCACCAAGTAACATTGTGCGCCGGGTAGTGCTGGGCACCTGGAATTCATTAGTGACTCCAACACAGTCCCTGCGCCCCAGGGCCTCACCGTCCGGGGGAGACACAGATAGGTACATCACCAGGCTTTAAAAGTGATTGATTTGCTGGGTGCGGTGGCTCACACCTGTAATCCGAGCACTTTGGGAGGCTGAGGCGGGTGGATCACGAGGTCAGGAGATCGAGACCATCCTGGCTAACATGGTGAAACCCCATCTCTACTAAAAATACGAAAAAATTAGCCAGGTGTGGTGGCGGGTGCCTGTAGTCCCAGCTACCCGGGAGGCTGAGGCAGGAGAATGGCGTGAACCTGGGAGGCGGAGCTTGCAGTGAGCCGAGATCATACACTCCAGCCTGGGCGACAGAGTGAGACTCTGTCTCAAAAACAAACAAACAAACAAACAAAAGAAGTTATTGATTTGTTCAAATAGGTAGTATAGGCAGGTGGCTAAAAACCACACACTGCATGGAAAGATAAGTGCAAATCCCCTCTCTCCCCTGTCCCGTGGTCCCCTTCCCCTCCCAAGGACAATGACTGTGGCCAGTGCTGTCTGTGCCACCCTGGACATGGGCTATGCCTTAGAAAGCCGAGCTCCTCAAGAAACAAAGCAGGCCAGAGCCACATCCGCAGACCCGCATGGCCCACCGGAGGCCTCCGTACACCCTGTCTGCGTTTCTCACTGACCAGCATTTCTGGGAGATAATGATGTGTCAGTACGTATAGATCTACTCAGTTATTTTCAACAACAGCAAAGTGATAATAATAGCAAGAATTTATACTTGCGATGTTCTGGACGCTTCTTGGAGCACTTTATTTATATTAACTGATCTACTCCTAAGA